>NC_000008.11:137828767-138130844 GCF_000001405.40 Homo sapiens
GGTGGGGGAGGGCTAGCCATGGAACAAAACTGTAAGCCTGACCAGGTGTGAGGAGGGGAGGTGATAAAAGGATTATAGGGTGGAGGAGCAGAGGTTGAGGAAGAATTGGGACCTAGCTCGGCCTGGCGGGGAGGTGAGAGGTCAGATGGGTCTGTAGAAAAGGAAGATTAAAAAGACTCAGCAATGCTTGGGGTTTGGGCTGAGGGGACAGGAGGGAGAGAAAGAAGGAAGATTTGGGATGAGTTGCATTGGGAACAGAGACTAGGGAAGGACTGATGTGTAAAAGAATGCCTGGACGTCAGGCATCTCAGACCATTTGCCTATTTTACAACAAGAATTATTTAGATCTTGTAGGATGGAAAAATTAAAGTGCCGTTTTCCAGCTATTTGGAACTACTGTCGAGTTTGTACTGGGGTCAAGCAGCATCTCAGAAGAAAATAAGACACTTAGATTTTAGGTCAGGTGAGAGTTGAAGAGGTTTTAAGTTCTTAAGAACACAGGCTAAGGGAGAAGAAGGAGGAATGGAAGGTAGAAGCTTGCCTATAGTGAAGGAGGCAAGCCCAGAGAAAAGAGAGTAGAGACATGGAGAAGGGGTGAGGGGTTCTTGCCCTCCAGAAAAGCAGAGAAGGGGTCAGGGCACAGAAATAAGGGGTCGGGTCACAGAGATAAGAGGTCGGGGCACGGAAATAAGGGATCGGGGCACAGAGATAAGAGGTCGGGGCTCCTGCCCCTCCCCCAGAAAAACAGGACTTGCTGCTAAGGGTGAAGGAGAAGGAGTTGAGGGGTTCTTGCCCCTCCCCCAGAAAAGCGGGACTTGCCACTAAGGGTGAAGGAGACAGGGTTGAGGGGTTCTTGCCCCTCCCCCAGAAAAGCAGAAAAGGGGTAGAGACATGGAGAGAAGGGGTTGGGGTTCTTGCCCCTCCCCCAGAAAAGCGGGACTTGCCACTAAGGGTGAAGGACCAAGGCAGGCATCCCTGCATGGTCTGACACCTCTGAAACCTGGGTGAATAATCAGAGAGGCATCCCTGCAATGATTAAACACCAAGGGAAGGCTGCCTTCCCTAGTCCGTGACTGGCGCCGGAGTTTTGGGTCCACGGATAAAATGTGTCTCCTTTGTCTCTACCAGAAAATGAAAGCAATTGAAATTAAGAGAAGGGAGAGATTGAAGTGTGGCACCAAGATTGAAAGGAGAAAGAGGTTGAGGGATAGTGAGGGAGGTTGGAGAAGAGAGTAAAAAGAGGCCACTTACCAGATTTGAAATTGGTGAGATGTTTCTTGGGCTGGTCGTTCTGAGGACCTGAGGTCGTAGGTGAATCTTTCTCACGGAGCAAAGAGCAGGAGGACAGTGGATTGATCTCCCAAGGGGGGTCCCCCGATCCGAGTCACGGCACCAAATTTCACTTGCGTCCATGTAAAGAGACCACCAAACAGGCTTTGTGTGAGCAATAAAGCTGTTTATTTCACCTGGGTGCAGGTGGGCTGAGTCCGAAAACAGAGTCAGTGAAGGGAGATGGGGGTGGGGCCATTTTATAGGATTTGGGTAGGTAAAGGAAAAAGGGGGTTTGTTCTCTGTGGGCAGGACTAGGGGGTCACAAGATGCTCAGAAGGGGAGCTTTTGAGCCAGGATGAGCCAGGAGAAGCAATTTCACAAGATAATGTCATCAGTTAAGGCAGGAACCGGCCCTCTGGATGTGTATGTGCAGGTCACAGGGGATATGATGGCTTAGCTTGGGCTCAGAGGCCTGACAGACAGACACAACAAAAAGAAACAAAAAGACTACCACCTGCAAGCCAGGAAAAGGACCCTCACCAGAAATCAAATTGGCCAGCACTTTGATCTTGAACTTCTTAGCCTCCAGAACCATAAGAAATAAACACCTGTTGTTTAAGCCACTCAGTCTATGGTATTTTGTTATCACAACCTGCCTTACTCCATTCTTGCTGGTACAACAAAATACCTCAGACCAGGCAATTTATACACTACGAAAACGTATTGCTCACAGTTCTGGAGGACAGAACATTCAAGAACAAGGCATCAGTAGATTTGGTGTCTAGTGACAGCCTATTCCTCATAGATGGTGCCTTCTGTGTGTCCTCACATGGCAGGAAGAGCAGTTTTCTTCAAGCCTCTTTTGCAAGGGCACTGATCTCATTCAGGAAGGTGGAACCCTTATGACTTAACTGCATTCCAAAGGCCCCACCTCTTCATACCGTCACCTTAGGGGTTAAGATCTCCATAAATGGCTTTGGGGAAACATAAATCTTCAGATCATACCACAGCCTGAGCAGAATCATAGGTTAATCAATGCATCAATGCTTCCCCATTTATTTTCTTGAATTGGAGGTCCTGATATGCTCAAGGAACCAGTGACTTGACTCCACTTGTATCTTGGCATTGGCTTTTTCTCCCCTACATCTTGGCTCCTGTACTGACTCCTGATTTCAAAAGATAGATAATGCTATAATTGAGCCTTTCTTTGAGGTTCTGCTTTCTGAGAAACCCAGGCTAAGCCAATTCATTTGCCCTCAATTCACCAATAAAATATATAAAGCTTAATATAGAGATTATTTAGCAAATATTTCACAACACACCATTTGTTAAGCCAGGATTCAGATCAAGGTCTACTTTACCACAGTGCCTCATGAGAGGAAGAGCCAATTGCTCATCCACAAGCCAGAGATCACATGGTTCGTGGTCTCTGATCTAATCCTTGGAGCTCCAGCATCGTCCCCTAGCTTCGCTCTCCAGCTTCCTAGAACTGGACTGACTGACATTCATTTACCTGAGCAGATTTCTAATCCAATCAGCAGTATTCAAGAGATGCTTCAGAAGTTTCTAAGAATTACTCTCTGGTGCTCAACACTCCAAATGATTCACATATAAGGAATATGACCTTTTTACTGCCACATGTCCTGACCTCCATTTTGTTGACCTGGGGTTCTTCCTAGATTTTTCCACTGAGCACTGGTGGCTAACTGACTGGAGGACTGCTGCAGGCCCCTGGCCCTTGTTACTGAGGTCCCCACATACCTGTGCTCCAGCAGGTCCTGGTTATCCTTGGGACAATTTTCTAACATGGATCCATGCCTGATGCACTGTAGGCCCCTAATAGCTGTGAGCAGAAAGGGAAAGGGCTGGAGATGGAGACAAATCCACGAATCCAGGTAATAGAGAAAGCTAAGGTAATTCATTCAATGATTACAAAATGCTACATGCTTTCCCATCCCTGTAGAAGAGTTTGCTTTAAAGCCAGCAGGTACCTTCCTGGGATCTTCCCTAGAAAATTTGCAATTGAGAGCTGCTAAAGAGGATAAGGATCTATTCACTCTGAAGCTCCTGTCATGCTCATCTGTCATTACCCATGGACATAGGCTCAATGTCTTCAGGTGTTTTTTCTGATGCTCACAGTCTGGATGTATTCCTTGATAATTTTAATGCTTTAAGAACAAAGGGCCTCACATTTTTATTTTGAACTGGACCCGGCAAACTATTGGAAAGATAATAAAACTTAAACTCTAACTCATCTTGTTGGCAAGTACACATTCCAGGGCCTTGGAAGGGCCTTAGCAATGTGATCAAATGTTTCATTTGTGCTGAGAAAATTTGCAAAATTGATTGATAGCATAACAATTGATAAAGCTATGTCTCTCATCACATATTTATAAAACACTTCCATACACAAGGTCTTGTCTAATTCACATGGAATTCATGAGAGATTCCTGGGGCAAACTTTATAACCCTCAAACTTGAAACTGGGCCATTTGGAATTCCCATAGAACCATGTTTACCTTTCTCTTAACACTTAACAGACTCTAACCTGTTGGTGATACTTTCATAGCAGGTCATAAGCTGCTAGAGAATAGAACCCATGTTTTATTATCCTTTGTAACCCCAGCATCCTATCCTGGGGCTGGTCAGCAAGCAGGCAATCCTAAATGTTTTTAAATCTGAACTTAATACTTTTGAAAGACTTTCCACATAATACTACTTATGGCAGAATTCCTCTGTAACAAGTGCTTGTGTCAGGGGGTAATTTTCTTTTTTTCCCTCTATTTTTACCCTGCCCCCACCAAATACTAAAAGGCACAAGAATCAAATGAGAGACAAAGCAAAATATTTTGAAAAGCTTTTAAGAAATTGTGATCCAAATAGTTTTCCTAATGAAGACCTGAGACATCTGTGAAATCCTGGGTAATGAGCTCATTCTGCCTGGTAACTAAGGAGGCAGTGCATACTCCAGCAGGTCAGAAATACATCCATATGTTCACATTTCTCAGTAGCATCTGGGCATTCCTATGCTGAAACCTAGAATAGCAGAGTCAGGAAGGAATTGGAGAGCATGTGTTCCAGAGCCCATTTCACGCTCAGGCGATGGGGATTCAATGAGGATGCCTGGGGAATATGTTCAGGATCACAAGTCAGAGCCAGACCAAAGATGAGAAGTCCTCACCCTTAGGGGTCACGGGGAAATATTTCCAGTTTTACGCTTTCACTTCTGGTTCATGTTTCTTTCACCCTCTCTTACTTAAAAACAAACAACAAACAAATAAAACATAAAATAACTAAAAGAAGCAACATATTATTTCTGATGTTTCTACCTGGATGTGAGTCTGAAATAAATCAGATAAATTCTACTTCAAATTGTGAGGACCTAGCTGTCTCCAAACTTACTATTCAAGTCAGACAACAACAAGGTAACAAGGCTACCAGAAATATGATTGGAATTTTGAAGTTCCCATCAAAAAGGCAGGACTGGGACCGAATCTCCAGACATTACTTGTCCTGCTTCTTGTAACACTATTAATTTCAGTTTGGTTTTGTTGAGCCCCTTACAGTAGAGGCTGTCTTACCCTCCCCATTTCTAAAAATCCCTAGGGAGGTGACTGAAGTCACATATCCATCCCTGGCCCCATGGAGACATGCCTATGGGTGGAAAGAATATTTTGATGGGCTTCAAAAGCTTTGTCCTCGATAAACTCTGCTCCACGACTGTCTCACCTTTGTCTGCTCTCCTTACATGGCTTCTCATTCCCTCCTACTAATGTTTCCTTCACGCATGCCCTGGGGACCTGTACCATGCACTATACTCTGTAGCATGCACTATTCTTCCTCTACCTCATCACATTGATCTTTCGTTTAGCCTGGTGGTCTTAGACTCACCTCACTGTAACTGACCTCTGATGAGGATCCTTTTGTCACAAATGCTTCAGACACAATGAGAAGGTTGCAGCTCTCCACATGAGCAAACCTCCTCCTCATATCTAGGACTGTGCACATGGAATGAGATGTGCCCCCCAATCAACACAGCACCATCTCCTGAAACTCATCCTCATTCTACAGTCTCAGCTTCGATGGAACTTTCTCCCTGAAATATTCCTGGGCTTCCTAAAGTTGAATCATCTTTTCTGTGTTCCCATACATATCATTGTTCCCTCTCCTTTGGCTGTAATTAATACACTGGATTAAACCAGCCCATTTATATGTGTGTGTCTCCAAATTTAACCCTAAAGTACTTGAGGTAAGTAACTGAGTATTTTTTCAAGGTATTTCCAGCACCTCTTAAAGTATCCATGTCATTAATGAATATTAAATAGCCAAATGACACAGTTGGAATTCATTCCAAGGTCTTCAATTTGATAGCTGAGCATTTATTAAATAAATATTTTAATGCTTATTTTGTACCAGGTAGAGGTTCCTTCCTGGGGAAAAAGCACAGAGAAAAGCAGATGAGAAACCTCTCTTGGGGATTCTATTGCAGAACGAGGGAGGCATGAGACAGATAAGAAACAAGGAAAGAAAAAACAAATAACTCATGGAGAAAAATAAAGAAAAGGATGAGTTGTATTAATGCTGTAAAAGAGAATAGCATGACAGACTGGTGAGCTGAGGCAGAAAATGCCACTTCAGACAGGATGTTCCGTGAAAGCTATGTGAAAACCTGGCGTAGCCCATATAGCAATCTGGGAGAAGCGTCCCTCCAGGCCAGGAGGTGAACAAACAAGGGCCCTTGGGCTGAAACATCATGAGTCAACTTTTTCAAAGAATAGAAATTAAGCCAGAGTGGTGGAGCACAGGAAGCTCCACTTCCAAACAGCTTCCATGTTTGGAAGGACCAAGGACAGTGAGATGGATCATTGATTGGGCAATGGACTTCTTGGCCATGACCAGGAATTTGGAGTTATTATAAGTAAAATTCAAGCTCTTGATAGCTTTTCATCACTGCTGTGATACAACCTAAACCATGGTCTGAATCATCCCCCTGGTTTCTGGTGAAATGTGGGATATAGGTAGCTCAGAGGGAAGCAGGACATTCAGTAATGTTACAGTTATCCAGGCAAGAGATGATGTTGACCTAAGCCAGTGGGTTAACAGTGGCAGTGCAAATAAATAGACACATAAGACTTGCTGGCAGATTTGTATTTTGGAGTGAAACAAAATAATCAAGAAAACCTGTTGTTTTGTGTTTGGATAACTGGGTGTGTGGTAAGCAGTTTACTGAGGAAGAAATGGAAAAGAGTTTTATCAACAAAAATCAGTAATTCTATTTTTGGCCTTTAAAGTTTAATGTAAGTTCATACGTGATGTTCACCTGTCATACAGGAGATTTTCTAAATGAGTCTGGACTTGAGGAGACTGGTCAGCACTGAAGAGAGAAATCTGGAGTCTTGAGTAGATACGATTCTACTTTAAGATATAAGACTGGATGAGAGAGAATGTAATAGAGAAAAGATATTCAGAACTGAGCTCTGGGCACATCAAAATAGAATTTCAGAGGAAACAGCACCAACGAGTAAAAGGAAAGTAAAGGGCTGACGAAGAAGTCGTGGAAACAAACTATTTCAACAAGGTGGGCATGATAGGAACAAGTCATGGGAAAAAATGGCAGCTACCATTTATAAGCATTCCCTCACTGGCCATTAGTGATTGTGAGAGATGCTATATCCTACTCAGACTGCAGGAGTTGATCTCTGCATTTGCCAAAAATGGAGAGTACTGGTCCTCTTCCTACCTCAATAGCGGCCTTTTCCTCATTTTCCTGCTATCTAAACCCTGGAATGCCCAAAGCTCATAGCTCTGGCTTTTTGCTCAGTCTATTTCCAGAATTTTAATGCCCTCTAGAAGATGAGAACTTTCTCATTGAAATCTATTAACCCTGATTCCAATAAAGAGCTATCAGGGAACAGCTCTATTTTGATATTTCACAGTAACTCAAGCTCAAAATACCCAAATCTGAAATGGTAGTTTCAGAAGATCTAGCATGGAGCTAATGAAGCTGAAGCTTCAAGACCATCACTTGCACTGATTCCTTATAACTTCCAGTAGCTAATTGAGAGTTTTTGTTATTGTTGTTGTTGTTTTTTAAGAGAGCTGCCAAATTCTGCCTTTATGTCCCACAGGATCTGGATTCACTACTGCTTGTTTTCTCCTCCCTAACTCCACTCACTATCCCAATTAGTGGTAACTCCATCCTCCTAGATGGTAAACCAAAAAATCTTGAAATAACTCAGTATTTCTTTACTTCTCCCACATTTCATGTATTATCCAATCCACTAGTAAAGTCTACCCACTCCATCTTCAAATTGTCCTCAGAATCTTGTCTTCATGGCTGTCACCCTAGTTTCAACCACTGTCTATCACCTGAGAAATTTAAAAGCTTCCTCACGGGGCTACCTGCTTCCTCTTTTGCTCTGCATTGTTCTATTTTGAACAGCATCTGGAACATTCCTTCTTTATTTAAGGTCATGTCATAGCATGTCTATGCTCAAGATTACTAATGATGTTCTCATCTCAGAGTAAACATTGAAGTCATCATTATGGGCTCAAGGCCTACATATGGTCAGCTCTAGGCCACCCTCCCCATGTCTTTCCCTACAACTGTCTCCTGTTCTCACTCCACTCCAGCAACACTAACCCCCTTTCTTGCTGTTCCTTGTTTCTGTCATAGGACTCCCCAAACTTACTCCCTAGTCCTGCAATCCTAGGACCCCCAACCTTACTCCCTAGCCCTGCAATCCTAGGACCCCCAACCTTACTCCCTAGCCCTGCAATCCCTCTCCCTTCCCCCAACACAGACACTCATGCATGGATCATTCTCTCTGTCTGCTCAAATGTCACCTTATCAGAAAGCTTCTGTAGCTGCCCTCTCAAAGGAGTACACACAGCTCCTCTTTTCTGCAGGACACTCTATCTGCCTCTTCTGCTCTACCTCTTTGTCAATATATTTTTACCCTGTGACTACATAGAATGCAATTATTTGTCTACGTTCTGTCATCCCTCAACTAGAATATTACTATGAATACAGGGACTTGTCTTTATTTTTAACAGTACTGTATTCTTCATACTATGTCCTTGAAAAGCATTTGATAAAGGTAGAATAGGTTGTAAGCAATTTCAATAAATTAAGTACAATGTGTGCCAATGTGCCATGTAAGCTCTTAAGCCCTTTGTACGTGAAAGTGTCCATTTCCAGAAATGAATCCAGCCTGTATCTTATAATCTCCAGAGAAGCCATTTCTCTCCAGGTTCTGTGTTCTGTCCTTTTCTCTTCCCAGGGCTCTCTCCGTGTTACGAATCTCAAGCTTTTAAGCTTTCTGCTTTTCTCCCATAACATCCAGCTCTGAGAAATTAATATGATAATCACTTATTCACCCCTTGGTGTGCGTTTATGTCAGTGAGGTACCTGCCTCTCACAGAGATAAATGCATTATACACCTCAAGTTTAGTGTGAAATAAAATGCTCTGTCTTCTGATAAAAGATTTTTTTTTCTCTTTTAAAGCAGCAGCAGCAGCAGTTTGGAGAGGTTTATTTAAAACAAGGCAGAATTCCCTACTGCCCTAAAAGCCTCAACTTGGAAAACAGCACGGTGAATGGAAGAAAACCAGGCCTGGGGACTGAGGGGCTGCTGTGGCTCTCATCTTGATAAGAAGAAAGGATGAGCACCAACTTACCCCAGCTTCTGTCCATCTGTAACACATTTGCTGCTACAGATTGTGTCTGTATAGAGAAGAGAGAAGACGCAAAGCTCTTCTTCCAGTCCTTGAAGTCTGCAGCCTGGGTGTCTGCAGAGGACAATGCCTTGTTCTTTAAGATACCCAGCATGGCACTGCAGTACATCTATAAAAAATGCAAGTGAGATAAAATATAAAAATAAGAATTAAAAATTAAATACAAGATAATAGAAGGAAAATAACACAATTATGCAATGTGAAAAAAATGTAAGAATGTAAAAAAACGAAGTATTTTAATTAGAAAAATAAAGTTAAATAATGTATAAATGTAGAAAAATTAAGAAAAGAATCAACAAACTAGAGAAAAATGGAAGTACATAAATCTTAGATAAAATTAAAAATCATAGGCTAATCTATGAAAAGCAAAAGGAAAGAAAGTGCTGACAGAAAATAACCCAAAAGAGAAAGTAAAGAAAAAATAAGGGAGAAAGAAAGTCAAGAACAGAAAATGTAAAGAAACAGAAATAATGTTAAGAAAAAGAAAAAAAAAATTAGAGGGGGATGTGGATGAATGCAGGCAAAAAAAAAAAAGGGAAAGAACAGAGAAAGTGAAAATTAAGGAGAGAGGGAGGGAAAGGAAATCATTAAAATCAAAAGAAAAAATAATTATTAAGGAAAACAAATTAGAAAATAAAAATGATAAAAATGTAGTTAAGGAAGAAAGAAAAGTAAGAAAGGAATATAAACAATGAGAAAACAGAAATGCAAGTGATCAAAAGTCATAAGACACAAAAGTAAAAGAAAAAATAAAACTAAGAAAGTAATAGAAATACCAAAAGCAAAATAGAACGTGAAAATAATACAGACAGTAAATAAAATCATGATTAAGTAAAAACTAGAAAATAAGGTAAAAAAAAATAAAGCAAAGAAATCAAGTGAAGAAAGAAAAGGAAGTATGGATGCACAGACTCTCTCTGGACGGGAGAAGGAGGCACCCCTTCTTTACTGTGACAACACGAGTGCTCCACCTTGAAATGAGGCTGTTGGGCAGAAATGGAGAAAACATTGGGTTTTGATGAGTGAATGCAGTTCCCCAAAAGCCTTTCTTCCAGTTACACTTTCAGACTGGCGAGGGTGAGCTATTGATAATATTATTTAATCCCCAAATTACAGGTGCATCATATCTTGAACAAGATCAGGGACATAGGAGTTTACTGTGGAAGACGATGATGAGAGAGAAGAGGATAAAGAACTAAAAGTTAAGAATCAGACCGGGCATGGTGGCTCACACCTGTAATCCTAGCACTTTGGGAAGCCAATGTGGGTAGGTCACTTGAGGTTGGGAGTTCGAGACCAGCCTGGCCAACATGGTGAAATCCCGTCTCTACCAAAAAATACAAAAATTAGCCAGGCGCACCTGTAGTCCCAGCTACTCAGGAGGCTGAGGCAAGAGAATCGCTTGAAATCAGGAGGCGGAGGTTCCAGTGAGCTGAGATCACACCACTGCACTCCAGCCTGGGGAACAAAATGAGGCCCTGTCTCAAAAAAAAAAAAAAAAAAGAAAAGAAAAAAAAGTAGTTAAGAATCATAAATTTAAAGCTAATGAACATAACAATGGCAAATAAAAGATAATAAAGCCATATGCTAAAAATACAAAATAACTAAAAATGAATGAATTTGTGAAGAAGAAAAATAGGTAGACAGAAAGACAGGGTGGAAAGAAGAAAGGAAAGGAGGAAAAATATTATACCAAGGAAAAGAGAGCAAATTTTAAAGAAAACAGAACAATAAAAAAGAAAAACTAGTTAGTTGTACTTGAAATCTGGCTATTTCATTGAAACACATTTGCTATTGTGTATGAAGAATCAATAACATGGACAGGGAAGAAAGAAGTTATAATTATCTTTCAAAAGCTCTTATTTCTCCAGTCTTCGTTAAGGTATGAAGCATCTGCAAAAAGTCCTGCAAAAGTGTCAAGATAGAATTACCTTTCTGAATCATTATTTCTTTTGCAGCAATTATCCCCCTGAATAATAAAGTTATGGAAATGAATGATAGAACCAACCTGAGGAAATTAATCAGCAAGCCTGGGAATACAATTTGGGTCTCCTTAACAATATTCCAACTTAATTGAAAACAAGGACAGTTAGGTTGGTTTTTGGTCGTTTTATGTCTTTAATATGTAATTTTCATAAACGAAAGCTTCATATTGCACTTTGGGGATGATGGTTACAGAGTACTTGATAAGTTTTACTGCAAGGACATGTAGTAATGTATATGCCAGCCTCTTATATGACAACTATTGAATTTACACTTTCAACTCTTTTAAAATATAAACGTGTGGATTGCATACTCCTGTGTTTTGCATTGCTTGTGAAATGTTGAGAAGGCATTGTGTTGACAAATGCAGCATGACATTAATCCAAGTGCATGATCCCCCTTCTGCTTGCCCCTAACTTCCCATTGCAGCCTGATGGTACATATGTGTGAGTTTATTCTTTGTGATTTCTGCAGAACATCATCTAACAACACAGGGACACTATCAGAAGAAGACCACGAAAGGTTATGCCCTTTGGAGTCAATATTGAGGTTCTCTATCACACTGGAAAGAAACAGACCTCAGACAACGGATTACTAACCACACTTCACTGAAAGCACCATCAGAGAAACATGTGACAAAGACATGGAGATCAATGTGCTACTCTGGAATATCTCTGCATTTCCCCAAGACTGTCCTGAAAGACCAGCAATGGAGAATAGTTGTACCAGGAGTGGAGTGGTCAGATGTGTCTGTCTTTGTCATACATTGCTAGCAATTTTGGTTGTTTCTCAATAAACATTTTTAAAATTTATTTTCCCTAAATTGTTCACTGTTCACATTCATCCATTTATCCACTTACTCAATAATTATTTTTTGAGTATCTATTCTGCGGTGAAATTAAAGACCAAAGTAGGGGATAGAGAAGTAAAGTTGAGATCACTGGGCTTTATTACTTTTTAAAGCCAGGGGATAGCAATGACGTCAGCTTGAGAATGAGTTACAATAGCAACCAGTAAAGGATAGCACTGGCTTTAAACAAAAATAAACCACCAGAATATATTTTCTGATTTATCTGTGTTTCTGATGAGGACATCCGTTTATCTATTTTAAATGAAGTGTTGCTAGATACCCACCAGTTTTCAAGAATCTAACCACTGGGTAAATAAAAGGAAAAAATGGGAAATTCTGACACAAGAGTGAAATATGAATGAGTGAACATAGAGAGCTATGAGGTTCTCATACTGTAGATGGTGTTTCTGTTGATCTTGGTTGCATTAGAACACATCTGCTGAAGTCCAGGGTCACCTTTGCTGAAGGTCAGTTACAGCCCATTATGAGTAAAGATATGTGGATGGAGAAATCTAGAAGAGCAGAGATAAATAGTATCTAGGTGTTTTAGGAGGCTTGAAGCATGGCATAGGAATCTGGTCACGGTGCTTTTTAAATAATGAACCATCTATCAAAAAAGCAAATGAGCTGTGGCTCCCACCTGTCATCCCATCTACTTGGGAGGCTGAGGTGGAAAGATCACTAGAGCCCAGGAGTTACAGTTCCAGACCAATTTAGACAACATAGCGAGACCACGTTTCTAAAAGAAAAGAGAGAAAGAGAGACAGAGAGAGAGAATGCCACTTGAGAAGATGAACGTCGAACACATCATATGGTTTTCAATTGATATGTGATGGTATTGAAATTAAAAATAATTGAGGAGCATATGGTCATATCAAGAATTACAAAATGTTTGTGAAAATGAGTCCCTCCAATTAATTCTTGATTCCAAAAATTGATTCCCAAAATGTAGTCACAGTAGATAAGAGATTAATAAAACATTTAGGATTCTTCACATTAAATGATCATTATTTTCTTCTCTCTCTCTCTCTCTTTTAAGAGACAGAGCCTTGCTCTGTTGCCCAGGCTGGAGTACAGTGGCATCATCATAGCTCACTGCAGTCTCAAACTCCTTGGCTCAAGGGAGCCTTCTGCCTCAGCCTCCCAAATAGCTAGAGCTATAGGTATGTGGCACCACCACACAACTACATTTTTAAACAAAATTCTTTGTAAAGACAGAGTCCTACCATCTTGTCCAGGGTGGTCTTGAACTCCTGGGCTCAAGGGATCCTCCCACCTTGGTCTCCTAAAGTGTTGGGATTACAAACATGACCCACCACATGCAGCCACAAAAGATCACTATTTTCTAAATTAGTCCAGGTTTCTAATGCTGATATTGATAGCTTCCCTTATTGAGCCCCATCAATAGTTTTTGCTTTGGCTCCTAGTACTCTAATATTTTCTTAAATCACTAGAATCCTCAGCCTCTTTATAAGTAAACTCTGTATTGTATTTAAAACACCATACTTTCTGATGCCAAAACCTTAAAGAAAGGGAAGGGGCAGGAACAGCAGAAGCAATGCATTAAGATTTCTTGATAAAGTTCCCTTCCTTACATTAAGGAAACAACTTAAGACACACGGAGAGTGGATTAATATAATTGAAACCCAGTCCATAAATTCTCTTTCACATCTTACTTTCAATGTTTAAAAGCTGTTTCTTCTCTTGAATTTAACAAGGGTTTATAACAGATGTGCATTCTAAAGAAGAGTGAGGGTTTGGATTCTCCCGGGAGTACACTTCAAATCAAGGATGCAAATGCAAGTTGTTATTTGGAAGCTGTAGAGAGCCAGGACAGGGCAGGGTGAACAGGAGGAGACAGTGAAGGATGAGTTAGCAAGTCGCTCTGGACAACTGGTGCTTAGTCCCGTGGAGAAACTATTTCATCTGAGGGCCAAGCAACTCTAAATTCATTTTTCTTCTTTTGTTCTTCCAAATGTATCCATTTTTTAATTTTACAGGTAAAATTTTAAGTATCATGTACAACATGATGTTTTGAAGTCTATATTACATTGTGGACTGGTTAAATCTTACTAATTCACATGTGCATTAACTTGCACAGCCATCATTTTTGTGGTGAGAACACTTAACATCCCTCTCTTAGCATTTTTCAAGAAATATGTCTTTATATAAAAACTCAAACCATCCCTTGCTTGAGGGCGGCTGTGGGGCCTGCCATTCTACTGGGCCTGCAGCTCTGTAGAAATCCCTGTCAAAGCAATTAAGGTGCTGGTAGTTGGAAGTCAGTCAATAAGAGTACACTGAAGTGATAAGGTCTGGGGAATAAGGGCAGGACAAGCATAACCTCTGCAACAAAATCATCTCATAAAAACACCACCACCAACGCCAACGCATCATCTGCTTGGAGCATATCCTTGATAGGATTTTTCCTGCATAACCTCTAGGCTTCCGAAGCACCCTTTGAGCAAGAAATGTTTTTCTCATTTACAGATAAGAAAGTTGTCGTAGAGGGATGAGATGTCAGTTCCAGAGGCAACAGCTGTCATGTGACAGGATTAAGTCAAAATCAAAGTTTCTATCACTGGATTCCTTAAGCTTTACATAGATAAGAAAGTGTGATAACGAAGATTATCTGTGGAGAGGATATGAGAAGAAAAAGCTGAAGCCATCACCAGAGACAATGCTGTGGCCAGTGGGTCTGTCCTGCTGAGGCACGGGTGGCTAATCTGGAGCCCTCCCCCAGGTCAGGGCCATCACGGCAAGCCAGAACCTGAAGTAGAGCACGGCCCTCTAGCGCCCTCTAGCGCCCTCCTCGACCTCTGCCTCCAGCTGGGCACTTCCCTGAAACTTCCCTAGGCCTCCTTCCAAAATACACAGGTCTCCTGTGTTTTCAAGACTTTACTGCTTTTTCAATGAGAAAGCAGTCAACAAAAACTAAAAAGCATGAGGAAGTTACAAACTTTACATAGGTTTTATAGTTGCTGTCTTTGGTTTACAATATACTAGTATTCATTGAATATAGTAAGATATTCAATTATAGGATGTGTTAGTAGTATTCAAAGTAAAAATATTTAAAGATCATGGTCTATTTGGGACAAAAAATTCCTAGGCACTTTTCTTCAATCAGCCTACAGTTCTCTCATCAGCTTTTTACAATGGTGAAGCAGGACCTGTTAGCAGAACCATGCCCTCCAATTTAGATCCTAATTTTGCCCCACTCCATGCCAAAGCCTGTGGGAAAGTAGATCACACCCTTTAGAAATAAGTGGCAGAAAGTTACCCTGTATCATTTCATACCAACAGAATACTTCATTTTTGAAATTTTATTTTACCCTACTTACAAAGAGCTCACCTGTTACCATTTCCTGAAGGTTGACCTAAGACATAAGACGTCTGGTGGAACTCAAAGGACCTTATTACTCATCGTAAAGCAAGCAACATTGTCATCAGCATATTAGCCTTGGTTTCCACTGTTCCCAATCCCAAGGGAGAGGGAAGCATAATATGGCCCAGATAAATGCCTCACATCGGTGGGTTTGCGTCACAGCTGAACAGCACTGGGTTTGGGGAATATACCAGTTTTTTAGCAAACGGTAAACTGGGCTATTTGTCTAGGAGGAGCGAGACTACTAGCTGCGCAAACAACACTGAGATACGGCCTGGGTAGGAAGCTCTCAGAGCCCTGTGGTCTTGGTACAACCAGAATCACGCAGTGGAACACAACAACCCGAACTTACTTTTTCCAAACGAATTCTCCCAATACAGAGATTCTATCATATGTAACTTGGAGAATTCTTTCTTTATACCACAAAATACAATTTATGCTGTGTACAGAGTAACTAAAGGACAAAAATGTTCACTTACATTGATAATGAACAAAATAACATTTCATGCAATATATTCAATACAATATATCATAATTTAATAAAATAAAGGTTGAATAACTGCTGATTGTTGTTGGCTTTTTTGGCAGAACTTTATATAGATGGTGCAGGATAGTCCTCTATAATCTAAATATATAATCTAAAGGGTGCTGTCTGTGTTGCCAGGGCATATTAACAGAGGGTTTGTCTTTCTGAGATAATAGGAAAGTCACAGGCAATCCCCTTAAAAAAAGGGGTAAAAAATATTAAAAAGCTCAAAGAAAGGTATTTTTTAAAGTGATTTTCACAAAGTCAAAGAATCTTAACGTAGGTGCTCAATTCCTTTAGGTTTTACTTTCATTCATCCATCCATCCAACAAAAACGTATCAAGAACTCGGACTGTACCTTGCATAAAAAGAGTGCAAGTCATTCTACTTGGGGCAGGGGCACTTACTCAGCATGGCTTCACATAAAATCAACCCTTGCATTAGCAAATTGAACCACTAGAAGCATGACTGTTTTCAGAGTAAGTATGACAGACAAAGGTCTGTCTCCAAGATACCAAGCATCTAGAATAGAATCTAAATGACAAATCAGATTGTATTTCACAGACTTCTCAATATGACATGTAGCAAAGGACAATGAGAAGCTTGAGGATTCGTGGAAGAACTGTGTGCGTCACATTCCATGCCAACATGCAGACTCACACATACCCCATAACTTCCTACGTTTATCTATGACATTAACTACCTCTTCCACACTTCACATTTATTGTAAAAATACAGTCAAGTGGAAGGAAGAATCCCAATAGATATTTCACCAACGATAGAAAGGGCTTCCTTGTATTTGGATAAGGGAAAGAGGTCATGCAAGAGGGTAGAAAACACATCTGAAATTTAGTTGCTTTCTTATTCCTGGCAATAGCAACAGTAAATATCTACATAGAGCATCTCCATTTGCACATCCATCTCATCTGAATTTTAGAGTAACCCTGTGAGACAGGTATTAACATATGACCCATAGTATAGATCAGAGAACTGTGACATTGTCCCAAAACCACTCGGGAAGTGATGGGAGCACAAATAAGACTCAGATGTTCTGCTTCGTGAGTCTGGTCTCATTCATTGAATTGAAGGACTTGGATGCAGGTTGAAAAAACTTGGACTAAGGTTGAGGCTGATGTTCACCTGTTTGGGAAGTCAGGATTGTCCATCTGATAAGAGGAGTAACTGACAACAAATAACCATCGCCTTTTCTGCCTGTACAATATATAGTGAGTTGCTAAGACACTGTCTCATTCACTCAATTACTTGACACTTGCTATCACTCAGCAGGGCAAAGAGAACTTGCACATATCACCTCACTTGACAAAAAATTTAACTGAGAGCCAGGCATGGTGGCTCATGCCTATAATCCCAGCACTTTGGGAGGCCAAGGTGGGTGGATCACCTGAGGTCAGGAGTTCCAGACCAGCCTGACTAACATGGTGAAACCCCGTCTCCACTGAAAATACAAAAATTAGCCAGGTGTAGTGGCAAGGGCCTATAATCCCAGCTGCTTGGGAGGCTGAGGTAGGAGAATTGCTTGAACTCAGGAGGCGGAGGTTGCAGTGAGCCGAGATTGTGCCATTGCACTCCAGCCTGAGCGACAGAGTGACTCCGTCTCAAAAATAAATAAGTAATTAATTAATTGAGAACCAAAGAGGTCAAATTGGCAAAAGGTCACCCTGCTGGGAAATGTTATGAGGTGGACGGCTTTAGAATGTAAGGCAAATCCTCTCCTTTACCTAGGAGGGAAAAATCCCTCCCACCATCCCGTTCTATATTTTCCTCCCCTCTCCTCTTCTTCCCTCCTTTTCTTCCCCTTCTGTCCCCTCCTTCCCTCTTCCTCCTCCCCCTTTCCTCCTTCTACTATTTCTTTTCCTTTTCCTCCTCCCACACATATGCAACACACAGACACATCTCATAAGGCATGAAAGAGCGATGACTGGCACATTTTTTAGGCAATTATTCTAATATATTATTAACTTCAAGAGGGCTCATCCCAGCACTTTGAATTCTGGAATAGCTCCCTTCCTTCCAGACTTCACCCTCTTCAGCATTTCTTAATTTCACGGATAGCTCCTGCTCTTGATTGAAAATGACAGTTTTTGAGGGCCAGAGGCTGTCTTTGCAATGATTTGATCTGTCTATATATATATATATATACAAGTCTCCATGTAAGCTGGAGGCCGGGCTCTGTCCAGAGGTGTAGCCACAGAACACTTTGCCTTGCAGTTACTTCTGTGTATCGAGTTCGTGTCTAATTTTCTGCAGCGAGTCTGAGGACTGAGAGAAGTACTTGTGTCTCCCTGAATAAATATGTTAGAATCGTCGCCTGCCTTCAGATACAGAATTGCATGACTTCAAACAGCACAGACGCTGGAACTACATTTTGAAGATGAGAAGAAAAAAAAAAAATAGGAGACACAGATGTGGGCACTTATTTCAAAGAATCGAATAGTGAGATGTTTAAGCACCAAAATCAAAGACCATGGGGGGGAAGCATCCAAACTCTGGGCTTCTGCTAGAAGATCCTTTTTCTTCCACAACAGAAAAAAGACAAAAAAAAATAGTTGAAGACAGCATCACTCACTTTAAACTCATTTTGACTTATTTTGTAAGAAATTATGAAACTACTAGGAACACAGCTGAGGGCGGGCACAGCCTGCAGAAGGCACATTCTCTGTCCTCTAGCTCCCCAGTGTGGTGGGGAGAGTGTCATGCACAGACTTCCTGGCAGTGCTCAGAAAGCTGAAGTCAATGCCTTAAGTCCCTGGAAGCAGTAGAGGAGGGAGGGAACCATTCGAACTTGAAGTAGGAAAAATCAAGGGAATTTTCCAGAGAGAATTCTGCATTCCAAACATTTCTCAAATACATCCCTTCCTTCTCCCTACTACACTGAACTGCTTCGAGTACTGGGAGTCTTTGGCCCGGACCCCTGCAGTAACTTGTCTCCTTGACAACCTACTCCTCTCCTTGTAGTCTGTTATTCAAACAGGCAAATCTTACTAAAAGAGAAAATGTGATCACGGAATGTCCTGCTTAAAAATCCTTCAAGATATAGGTTCCTTTTGAAAGCTTTTCTGAACTCCACACCCAGCGCTCAAGGATGCAATAGTTATGCTGTGTAACAGACTATCCCCCTACAGCAGTGTTTTACAAAGCAGTGATTTTATTTAGCTTAAGATGGTGTGGGCCATCCAGATGATTCTTCTGGCCTGGGCTTCCTGATTCCTCTCCGCATGAAGAATTAAATACAAAATAATTTAAGATGTGTTATAAAAGTATAGTACAAACCACCTGGCCCATGGTAAGTCAGAGAAAAGAGAAAGAACCAGCAATTTTTTCACATTGAAGAACTTGTGGAGAAACAAAAAGGACTTCCATTGGTCCTTATTAGTCAGGTTCAGGGAACTGAGAATTACTTTGTCCCTCACACTCTGCTGAGAGCTTTACAGGAGCTGACTTAATACACTTTCCTTTAAATCTCCCAAGATAGGCACCACTTACCTTGTTTTACAGATGAAAAACTGAGTCCAAAAAGCTACGAATTTTGCCTAAAATTACATACCAAAAAAAAAAATAGAACAAGCATTTGCAATTAGGTCCCTTTGACACTAAAACTCATGAACTCTCCACTGCTTGATCTTTAGAAAACAAACAGATGTTTGATTTATGGTAATATATTTAATTTAAATCTCTAAAAATCACTGTACTTGTATTTGCTGTATATTGAGCATATGCTTCCTAAGGTCATTTCTACCATAAGCAGCACAGACTGGCTTGCTCTTAAAGAGAAGGATAGGCCGGGCGCGATGGCTCACGCCTGTAATCCCAGCACTTTGGGAGGCCGAGACGGGCGGATCACGAGGTCAGGAGATCGAGACCATCCTGGCTAAAACGGTGAAACCCCGTCTCTACTAAAAATACAAAAAATTAGCCGGGCGTAGTGGCGGGCGCCTGTAGTCCCAGCTACTCGGGAGGCTGAGGCAGGAGAATGGCGTGAACCCGGGAGGCAGAGCTTGCAGTGAGCCGAGATCAGGCCACTGCACTCCAGCCTGGGCGACAGAGCGAGACTCCGTCTCAAAAAAAAAAAAAAAAAAAAAAAAAAAAAAAAAGAGAAGGATATTGGGGCCGGGCGTGGTGGCTCTGGCTCACGCCTGTAGTCCCAGCACTTTGGGAGGCTGAGGCGCGGGGGTCACTTGAGGTCAGGAGTTCGAGACCAGCCTAGCCAACATGGTGAAACCCTGTCTCTACTAAAAATACAAAAATTAGCCGGGCATGGTGGTGGGCATCTGTAATCCCAGCTACTTGAGGGGCTGAGGCAGGAGAATCGCTTGAATCCAGGAGGTCGAGGTTGCGGTGAGCCAAGATCGCACCACAGCACTCCAGCCTGTGCGAAAGAGCAGGACTCTGTCAAAAAAAAAAAGGAGAGAGGGAGAGAGAGGGCCATCGGGGTGAGGCAACATCTCTCGCAGATCTTCAGCTGTGACTCTTCAGGACAAATGGCCATGGGGAAGTCACCTAACGTTTCAGGGCCTCAAATTCTTACTTTCTGTGTGTGCGTACATTTCAATTTATTAAAACAGTGATACAATTGCCTACAGGGTTGCCTCAGAGATTAAACAAGATAAATGTGTGCAAAGAATCTAAAATGCTGCCTGAACATATACTGGCTACTCATAAAATGACACGTATTTTTATTATCGTGATGTCAAATAGAAGATATTAGAAAAGGGTAACATTCTCAAAAGAGGACATACCCATTTGGGAAAATGATAAACATGAGTGATGGTAGGAAAAAAAGACATAGGTTGGAAAACTCTACGTACAATTAACAGTAACGATTCATTATGAACTGTAAAATGGGACCATCATTTGCAACAAGAGAAACTAATTTTGTAATAGAGACAATTCCCCAAGCAGCCATTTCTGATGTTTTGAGTGGGATGAGTCACTTCAAAAATCATAGTGGAAAGTATTTTGGTCTTTGGGAAATGTATTCTATCCCATTTACAAAGCACTGAAATTTTAGCTACAAGCTTCAGCTCACCTTGGCAAATAGAAGGCGCTCAAAACTGGCTGTTGAGTTGGACTCTAATGTCTGCATCTCCTAATTGCTTATGAAATATGTGTTGAACAAATTAAACAACATTTATATTACAACAAAGGAAATTAGCTCTAACCACATATCATCTACTTCCTATAACAGAGCTAAGTGTTTAATTGTTTCTTCTATTTTTACTCCACAGATGTCTTTCATTTGGAAAAAAAAAGGAATGTAAGAATGTAAGGTGTCACCAATGATTAGGCATTGGTGACTAGAATTGTATTTAGTGTATATATGAGCTATTGTGATATGAAAAGTTTAAATACCTGGTTTTAGTCAGAAGAGAGGATACCAAATCAGAATTCTCTACTGATAAGATACATTCTCTCAATTAATGCTTCAATATCTGGAGAGTGTGGGCCAAAAACCCAAATTCAGGAAGGAATTTCTTTCTTAAGATAATAGGTGGCAAATAGGCAGCTTAGAACATTTAATTGAAGATTTGCTGCACGTAAGACACAGTATATACAGGACATTGAGACGAGGCCTAAGCCATCCTCCTCATTGGAGCACACCATGATGGCTTGAAAATACAGGGTCTGGAGTCAGATGCTCTCACATCAAATCATGACTCTAAACTTAGTATTTCTGAGATTATGAACAACCTGTCTTCTTTCTCTGTGCCTTTATTTCATCAACTGTAAAATGGGGAAAATATTAGAATCAAATTCATGGAGTTTTGTTGTAAGGGAGAAATGAAATACATGCTAAGTTCAGCACAATACTAGGCACATAAACAATTCTAATAGCTCTTAGCTATAAATATTAGTAGTACTCCCTATAGACTTTCAAAGGAATGTTGAGTTATAGTAATAGAAATATTTATAATTCCATAAGCATGCCTCCTTAGATTAAATCTTATTATTTTCATTACCCTTATCATTAACATTATTATTATCATTATGGTAAGTCATTGGTCTTATGAACTGAGGAGTGAAGTTTGTGCTGACATCAGCCATATAAAAGAGACAATACTAATAAGCTACAACTCTCTTTTTATTGGTTCCTAGAAAAAGAGGAAGTAGGGAAATAATAAGTGTCAAATATGTCAAATACTGCTCTAGGTAGTTTATATTAATATTCATTCATGGATTCTCATAATCACCCCTCAACTTGAGTATTAAAAACCCTACTTTGCAGATGAAATTGGAAAGGAAACTAAATTTTTGCTTAAGCTAGTATTTGCCTAAGTAAGTTATGAATAGATCTGAGCTTGAACTCAGGTTTCACTAACTTTAAAGTCCTGATTGTTTTCACTATGCTAGCTCCTTTTTAAAATCAGTACATTTTAGGTAATGGGTTCTAGTTTCCTTGAGTTTCTAGTTAATTAATATACACTGTGTTGTAAGAAGATGAGCAATGGGCTTAGTGTCAGTAGACTTCCCTTGAGGCCTGGGTCTTTCTACTTCTTAAGAATGAACCTGTGCAGGGCTATTTGCACTCTTTGAAACTCAATTTCCTTATGTGCAAAATGGGCATAAGTAGTCTTTTACTCACAAGTGATTTGCAGGCATACAACAGAATAAATATGAGAGTGCTATGTCTATTGTAAAAACCTTAGGAAAAATAGTGAATAAGTCACAGAGTGCCAGTAAATTTATAATTGTCTCAATAGCAGAAGTATCAGGCAGTGTCATATCCTGGTCCTCTCATACCTTAGTCATCTTGTTTAACACCATCCTCAATTTCTCCTTTTTACACCCAGCCTAGCCACCATTCACCACATCAGAAGCCATGTGGGCTCTGTTTAATAATAAACTCCAAAAGTGTCACTTTTTTCCATGATCACTGCTAACACCCTAGTCCAAGCCACTGATAACCAGATGACTGCATCAGCCTTGATAACACATTGCCCTGCTGTCACAGACACCCCTCTAGAGTCCACATGCCACAGGGGCCAGCGTCATCTTATAAAACCTAGATCCCAACACTCATCGCTTTAAAATCAGCTCTGCTCTCTATTACGCTAACAATGAAAATCCAGACTCCTTGTGGTAGCCCTCAATGGACAAGGAGACCCAGCTCTTACCTACCACTGCGTTTCAGGTCCAACACTCCAGCCTTGCAGGCACACAGAGCTTCTTCCGGCTCTTCCATCACAGCCAGTCTCTCTGAGCCCTAGAGCCCAGGCACTCTGCCTGGAGTACCCCAACCTCAACTCTCCATGAGATGTTCCCTTCTTAGCATTCAGGTCTCAGCTCAAAAGGCCCCTCTTCATCAGGACCTGCCTATCTCCTGGATCTAAATAAGAGACCCACACACACTTCACTCACACCTATAATACCTACTGACTGCATGGCATTTTTGCTACCTGGAAGTCTTTCTTGTTTATTCACCTCTTTATTCTTGTTTATTCACCTCTTGCTTGTCTGTTGCCCTGGCAAAATTTAGACTCCATGAAAGAAGGCACCTATGTGTCCTTTTCAACACTAGCAAGCAGAACAAATCATAGGTTTGCAAAGAATATATGTTGGATACATTTTTAAAAGTGAATTTCTCTTATACTACTGCAGCCGCAACCATACAATCTTCTGCCTCTGTCTGTTGGCTTTCAAATCCCCCTGCACTGCCCCATTCAAGGTTCTACAGTGCACCACAAAAATCAAGAAAACGAAGACAAATCTCTTGCTCTGGAATCCAGTACTCCCCAGATCCCAGCCTGCATCTGCCTCTGAAGCCTCCTTCCTCACTCTCTCCTGCTCACAATCTTTCCTCCAGCCACACAGCTGCAAGCTTCTTAGGCTGCTCCTTTAGCCCGAACTAGCCCCTCCGTTTACACAATAATTTCTGTCCTACTCATGCCTTGCTTTGCCCAGGTAAGATGCTATGTATTTTATTTTTTATTTCTATTTTTTATTTTATTTTTATTTTTATTTTTATTATTTTATAAATCATATATTTATGTATATTTACATATTTACATATTTTAAATATTTATATATTTATAAACTTATATATTTATATATTTATAATTAAATTATATATTTATTATAATATAATAACATTATCTTAAATAATATGTATTTTATTATTTTATTTTTATTTTTTATTTTATTTTATGATGCTATTTATTTTCTATGTGAAACTTTCCCTGATCATTCCAGGAAAAAAACTCAGTCCTTCCTCACTGCTCTCACAGGTTTCCCTCGATTGAACACTGAGCTGTGTTTGGTTCTGTTTTGAAGCAGTGAAGGTGTCTCTTTACAGTCTATTTCTTTGATAGTGAGAGGAAGGGGTTGAAAATGATATTTAATATGTTGACTGTTCACCACTCATGTTTATACACATTACCTGCTTGAAATTCTGCTTCAGTACTTCAAGGATCATTTTTCCCATTTCACAGATGGAGACATTGAAGTTGAGTGAGATTATATAAGTTAGGGTTGCACCACTTACATATGGCTAAGTTGAGAATAAATCCAGGTCTGACATCAAAGCCAGTGTCTACTGCTTCCTTCTGTTTCCCCACATCAGGTCTACTTTGGAACAACACTGAATTTAATATAAGGGATTGAGCTGAAGTGAATTGCATGGAATTGGATGAAAAAGCCGGCTGTACTGAAGGCCAAGTTTGTCTGTTTCTCAATTGGATCTGGGAGTCCTTATGCCTGTCTTTATTTACTTGGTCGGATTCCCTCCCATGCCTAAACATTCTCACAAAGTGAAGAGGGGAGTCCCAGGCCCCGGGGAGCAGTGCCCCTCCGGACGGTGCCAACAGTTGCCTATATTACTGAGCTGCTAAGCTCATTTTTCTTTGGCATTTGTTTTAATGGTCAGAGCGAATGAATTGTGGCTGTTGGATGAGACTGAAAATTAGGTGTATTTGGTGATGAATTCATCTCAAATTGCTGAAACTGTCAACTCAGGTGGCAAATATTCAGTTCATTCTTGAAAAAAAAGGAGAAAACTACAACATCTTTCCCCCAGTGATCTCTATAAGAAAACTTGAAAAGCCACCAAATTAGAATTGCATTGTTTTCTCTGGCATTCATCCAGATTCTCGCAATATTCAAAGCAGTCATTTTATTTCAACGGCTCAGGAAAAACATGTTTGACATAGCTTAAAAAGATAGATTAAAACTTCATATTTGAAATAATGTCAGGATGAGCCAAATTCACTAAGGCAACCTGTCTGGGAAAGGTTTCCACCCGGACACACTGAGGCACATGCCAGAGCCTGAGCAAGGTGGGCCTGTCAAGGGTCTTGGGCAAGGAATGGGGAATAGGATTCAGGACCCTGTGTTCTAGTCCCAACTCTGGTCCCTGTTTACTGACAGAACTTGAGTAAGTTGCTTAATTTCACTGATACACCCATTGTCTATGCTGCAGCATTGAGCACCTGTTACATGTTTCAGAAAGTTGAGAAACAGAATGTTGCCTGAAAATGAAATGAAGCATCTCCAAGACCCGTCACTTTTACTGAGGGACCTTGTTCAAGCTTAATGTCTCTGAATCTCAGTTTCTTGACTGATAAAATGAAACAAACAAAACAAAACAAAACACCAGAACAAGTCCTTTTTCACAGGGCTATTGGTGAGAATTAAATGAGATGATGTATGCGAAAGTACCAAGATGCTGGTGAAGGGCTGAAAAGGTGCCACGACGCCCAGCTACATGGCTGATAACAACGAATTAGAATTTACCGGTCAGCAAACTATAGCCTGCAGACCAGCTGCCTGTTTTTGTAAATAAAATGTAATTGGAGTGGACTCATACCCGTTCACTTACATATTGTCCACAGAAGCCACAGCACTGTGCAGTTGCTTTAGAACCAAAGATATTCACTATCTGGTCTTTTTTTTTTTTTTTTTTTTTTTTTTTTTTTTTTTTTTTTTTCTGAGACAGAGTCTCGCTCTGTCACCCAGGCTGGAGTGCAGTGGTGCGATCTCGGCTCACTGCAAGCTCCGCCTCCCAGGTTCACGCCATTCTCCTGCCTCAGCCTCCCGAGTAGCTGGGACTACGGGTGCCTGCCACCGCGCCCAGCTAATTTTTTGTATTTTTAGTAGAGACGGGGTTTCACCGTGTTCGCCAGGATGGTCTCGATCTCCTGGCCTCGTGATCTGCCCTCCTCGGCCTCCCAAAGTGCTGGGATTACAGGCTTGAGCCACCACGACCAGCCCACTATCTGGTCTTTTACAGAAAAGTTTGCCAACATTGGATTGGTAAGGACTTTGCCAGCTCTCGCATAGGTGAGAATTCTTCCCTATCTCTTCTTTTTGTTTTGTTCCCGTCTTTACAATCCCCCCTCCTCCCTCCTGCCCTCGGTTTTTTTTTTTTTTTTATCCTTTCCTTTCTTCCCTCTTCTTTTTTCTTTTCTCCGCAATAAACAAAAGCCTAGATAAATACACTGAGCCACTTACAAAATAAAAAGAGATGAGCCTTCCTCCTGGGAGATGTAACTGGTGCCAAGACCCATGCATGATATGGCCTGGGCTGCAGGGGCTGCACTGTATCCCACAGTTACCCATGGGCTGGGATTCTGAACCAGGAAACAAACTAGATGAGCAGTCAAATATTACTTAGACACCACAAGGCTCTGTAACATGGTGCTGCACTTATCCTAGTTTTTGAAATCATTTTGTTTGTATCTTTCCCACTAGATTGTGAACTTTCTGAGAATAGAAGCTTGCCTTATTTATTTTAGGGATCATGTATGTGAATCACAGTGTCTGGACTTTAGGCTCCATAACTGCTTGTTAAAGTGAATAATTATCTTCAGAATCATGTTTCTCATTAATTTTATTATGTTAATTAGAACAATTAATATTGTGTTACTACTATTACGTTATTTATTCTAATAAATTCTACCATATGGTTTAGACTTTTAGAAAATATTTTAAATTGTGTGCTTAAAAGGAAATCATTTATTGAAAGCAGAAACTGACACTTTATATCATTTATAAGGAGATGAAAAATAAATAAAAGACCAACTAAGAACATGTCTTTTATAATTTGTATGATTTGAGCAGTTTTTACCCTTATATTAGGAAATAATAAACACCCTTCCCTCCAGACTCTCCATCCTGAGATAATATGTCATTAGGAAAAAGCTGGGGCACAGCTGGGTCATAGACTAACCTCTACTCTTTACCCAAGTGTGACCGAATCCACCTGTGAGACATAAGAAACATTTCCATGATGAGCTCATCAGTTCAAAGTGGGTCTAATTAAAGCCTCATTTGCAGGAACTAATCATAGTTAGCTGCAAATTGGAGGAAATGCTACTCCAATCAAATGCATAATTCCCCTTCCCCTATGAGTTAAGTTTCCTGGAGTTATGTGACATTTAGCCGTTGGCATCAACCTCAAAATTATCCCTTTTGGGAAAGAATTATTGCATTAGGAATACAATTCTAACTCATGCTTAGTTTTAATAAAAACTTACTTGTTTTCTGCCCAGCGTCTCCCAATCTTACTTTATAATATTGGCAAACTTTGATGTCAATTCAACCATTTTCTGTCTGATTATTGTATCCTGTGAACATGGATAGCAGTGGCTTCCATTTTTTATTTAAAATACGGACTTGACATATCCTTTCCAAAGGCTTTACTCATATTATCACATTTAATTCTCAAAGTAATCCCAGGAGTTATTTTTTTTTTTTGATGGTACCACATTTACAATTAAAAATAGCAATAACAACAACAAAGCAGAAGTTTAGGATGAGTCCGTAAATGGTTCACATTTGCATAATTAGTAAGTAGTAAAGCTGGCTGGCATTAGTGGCTCTGTTTAGTTGCTCAGTCTGTACTGGTAATTAGTAAGATCTGCTGATTTTCAGGCCAATCAAGAGTGGAACATGGAGCAGGGCAGGAGCGGTCATTACATCAATACTTAGCATTTCTGCAAGAACGGCCTCTTACAATCTGGATGCTTCAACAATTTTAAGAACTGGAGAGGTTTGGTCAGATTACTACCCTCTCTTAGCCATTCCAAACATAAGAGATCCTTTAGGAAAGGGGCCGGCAAATTATGATTATTAACATTTTAAGTGGTTGAGAAACAAAAGAATAATATTTTATGATACATGAAAACTATATGAAATTCCTCTATCAGTATGCATAAACAAAGTTTTACTGGGACACAGCCACACATTTATTTTTGTGTTGTCTGTAGCCACATCAGAAGAACTGTGCTACATTAGAAGCACAGAACAACTGAGTGCTACATCAGAAGAACTGAGTAGTTGCAACAGAGACCATGTGGATCACAAAGTTCTAAAATATTTCTTATCTATCTCTTTAGTTTGTTTCCTGTTTTGAGGTGCAGCCTAGTTGCTATCTCCTGCATGAAGCCTTGTTTAATATTTCTTGCTTTGTTTCTTTTCCCTCCTCTGAATATAAATAGTATAGCACCTACACTATCTAAACTATTATCTACCATTTTATTTATACTGCTAGGACTGAAAGGCTTTAATTTCATCTCTTCCAGTTGTGCTTGATGCTTGAAACCCTCTGTAACAACCCTGAACAGTAGAACTTTCTACTGGATGATGTAAGTATCCTATAGCTGTGTTGCCAAATATGGTACACATGGTGATACGCAGCTACTGAGCCATTGACATGTGGCCAGTGTGATTGAGGAATTCAATTTTGAAATTTATGCTAATTTAAATTTAAATTTAAATTTGAACTCCTAGCCAGGCATGGTAGCTCACAGGAGGATCACTTGAGCCCAGGAGTTTGAGGCTGCAGTGAGCTTTGATCTCGCACCACTCCACTCCAGCCTGGTGACAGAGCAAGACTTTGTCTAAAATAAAATAAAATAAACAAAATAAAATATAAATTTGAGCCCCTACATTGGAGAGTGAAGGTCAAAAAGTTCCCTGCTGAGCAATTTCCTAGTCTCAGCTGGAATGATTCAGTGCTAAGAAACTCAAGCCCTCCCCAGCGTTCCATTACATCTTTGGGCAGCTCTTGCTATTTGAACATCTTCATGGAGAAATGTTTTCATTGAGACATGTTTTATTGAGAAACATTTTCCAATAACTTGCATATGATTTTTAAAATTCTACTATTTATGGCCACACAGAATAAACCTAATCTCCCTGATAGTGTCAATCTCTCATGTAAGAAGAGTGTGTACCAATCCACACAGGTATCTGCTTTGTTCTCTGAGACTGAACTGGAAAAATAAAGGGGATATAACTGAACCAGGTAGAATGGAGGCTATTTTATTGTTCCCTGTTAAATATTTTATGCTCAGCATGGAAACTCTTTACTTTATTAGGGTCTGAGTCCTAGTGGGTGGCAGGGATTCCACCACAAAAGACCAGATGTTTCTTCTCTCTCTCTGCCGGAAGCTATGGCTCAGATACATGACCAAGGTTCTCTCTCTACCTTGAATTTGTAAAGAATGAGACAAATAGAACAGAGAGTAAGAGATAATTCATGGCACAGTGGGAAAGTTCGTCGACAGCAATGTTCTAACTAGACCATCCCTGGCTTTGAACCCTGGCTATGTTCTCAGTTTCCTAAACACTGAAAGGTCTAGTCCTTCATACAAGCCTGGTTCTTGACGTTGCTTCTGTTGACTCCACGACACACTTCCAGAAATTCTGTATTAGACCGTTCTTGCATTGCTATAAAAAAATACCTAAGACTGGGTAATTTATAAGAAAAGAGGTTTAATCATTTCACGGTTCTGCAGGCTGTACCAGAAGCATAGCAGTATCTGCTTCTGCGGAGGCCTCAGGGAGCTTACAGTCATGGCTGAGGTCAGCGTGGAAGCAGGCACGTCACATGGTAAAAGCAAAAGCAAGAGAGAGAGAGAGGGAAGAGTGCCACACACTTTTAAACAATCAGATCTTGCAATAACTCACTATTGCAGGGACAGAAACAAGGAGATGGTACTAAACCATTCACAAGAAATCCATCCCCACGATCCAATCATCTCCTACCAGGCTTCTCTTTTCCACCTTGGCTTTCAGAAAGGGAAGAGATTTAGAGAACAGGTTGGGTTTCTGTGTGTAGATGTTGTTCCTGGGCCACAGACCTGAAATGCAGGGCTCTGGGATTTTTAGGAAGGAAAAGGAGCTGCAGGTATGTAAAGAATCATCTTCTATTCGAAGGCCACAGTTAAGGCAAGAGCTGTCCCTGCCACTTTGAATTACCAATCAAATCAATAGATATTGAAAACCCAGAAGGAATTACCTGAAATAAGATTGTTCTTAACTGAGAAGTCTGGTTCTTCCAGGTGTTGTCTTGAATCTGTTGTCAGATAGATCCTAGTTCAAGGACATGTACTATGTGACCTTGGGCAAGTCATTGACTCTCTTTGGAGCCTCATTGTCTACATAACAGAAACAATAAGACTTGGTTTACAGAACGTTACTGTGGGTACTAGCAATGTAATACCAGCCAAACCATACAGGAATTCCCCAAAGTGCCTTACAAAAGCTTGTGTTAGAGATGTTGTTCTTTCTCCATCCTGAAAGCCCAAGCTCTGCACAATTCTATTTCTTCTCTGTGACCCTGACATCAGACTATGTTTCAAGAATAGATCACAGTGTTTTTATCACAAGAGTGTTTAAGAGGTCCAAGAAATTGAATGATTCATTCCAAAGCAGAATGATATTCTCCTTTGGGGGCAGGTATCTCTCAAGCAAGAAGTTTCTGAGGGTCTTGCAGCTCCATTGACAGTTCTTGCTCATTTTTTTTTTTTTTTTGCCAGACCAGCAAAGAAATGAATGAAGGGCTCCTTAAAGTCTAAGGTTGCACTCTATGAACTGCTCTGATAAGAGAAGGAAATCACAAATTATTATTGGAAGTGGGACATGTGCCCTCAGGGGACTCACAGGCAATGGGCTAGATATAGACATAGGGAACATGACTAATTGCAGTGGATGCTCTCCAAAACAGATGTGTCCAAGACGTCCAGTGGGACACACAGCCAGAGGTGGTTTATTCTGCCAGGAAGCATCAGATGCAACTGGCATTTAAGTTGGATCTTAGGAGATTAAATCATTCTACAAGCAGAAAAGAGAAAATTCCAGAATGGTTAATGTGGTTTATGAAGGCATATGTGAGGATGCAAATGGCAGGAGTAAAGGCCTAGGGCAGAACCAGGTCACACAGGTCACGAAAATCCTGCCACTCATTTCTGTATGCAGAACATACTGCTGAGTGTCTGACCATCTGAGAGCTCTGCACAAGTCCTTGTAAAGTGAAACAGCGATGTGTTCAAAATGAGGCAACGCCATGCATTCTAGTGAGGGGGCTCCTACTCTGAGTGGGAGGTGGTATTTGATGGCCCAGTGGGTCCTTAGTGACTCTCACTCTACAAATGGGAAAAGGAAAGAGGAGAAAAGGAGGAGGAGCAGGAGGAGGGGTAAAACTAGGAGGCAGCTCTGGGAAATGCAGCAGGTTACCTATTCCAAGGAGGAGAAAAATGGAGGAAGGTGCTCTCAAATAGAAGGAAGTTAAGGGGTAACTAGAGGAGAAAAAATGGAATAAACTTGTATTTGACATTTAGCTATTTTGAGAAGCATGCAGCTAATTTGTGGTGATTGCTTCCAAAAAGATATGGAGGCTTGATTGTTTCAATGACTGGTCTACAAACATAATGAACATCAATTATGTGCAAGATGTATGGCCAGGTCCGATACAGTGACAAGAAAGAAAGCAGCATTTTTTGAGTGCCTTTTATGTGCCCAACACATTATCACATTGAACCCTTACAAAATCTTGTCAGGGAGATATGATTGTCAGCACTCTGTGAGGGTACAAAAACATGCAAAAAGGATATGAGTTACAAGATACATCAACTGCTATGCCGGCTGACTGCATATATCAAATAAATACTTCTACAGGCCAGCTGAACCTCAGGCAAAGGGTCTGTTGTGGGTGTGGAGGGGATGCTGCCATGATCTATATGTAGGTGCTAGCTCCCAAAGGGGCCTGTGATTTGTGCCCTAAGTAATCCAGTCTTAATCTGCAAGCAATGAAATGTCATTAAAAGTTTTAAACCTGGGAATGCAGTCATGCTTTTTTAAAATTCTGGAGGATCAATCTAGCAACAACTTACAGGATGCATTAGAATGGCGTAAGACAGGAGGCAGAAAAAACAGCCAGGAAGCAGCAGCAGGAATCTAGGCAGGAAATGGTGGAAGGTGATGAGAGAGCAGTGGAGATTAAGAGCAGGTGCTCAGTTCAAGAGCTGGAAACGTGACAGAACCAGCAGGATAAAGCGATGGTTGGAGACAAGGTGCTGGAGGAAGGGAGGAGAGTTGGTTGGCTTTGAGTGTGAGTTTGCATTTCAGAATGGATGACTGTCAAGCACACACAAAAGACAAGGTAAGGGCAAGGAGAGCACCCACCTGGAATGGGCAGTGAAAACACATCTAGGCACTCAAAGACTGGATTATTTATGACCTACATAGTGAAAGGAAATCCAAGCAAAAGTGCCAGCTCCCCACCATCCTTGACCTACACAAGGATGTTGCCACAATAGGGGCAACCTGACTGCAGTCCAAGTTATGGGATGCCTAGTGTAGTAGGTGGAATAGTATCCCCCAAAAGTCATGTCTATCTAGAATCTGAAAACTGTGGCCTTACTCAGAAGTGGATTTTTGCTGATGTAATAATCAAAAAGAACCTTGAAGTGATATCATTATAGATTTCAGGCAGTCCCTAATTCCAATGATCAGTGTTTTTATAAAAAGAGAAAGCCTGGGCACAGTGGCTCAGGCTTATAATACTAGCACTTTGGAAGGCTGAGGTGGGCAGATCACTTGAGGTCAGAAGTCTGAGACCATCGTGGCCAACATGGTAAAATGCCATCTCCATTAAAAATACAGAAATTAGCTGAGTGTTATGGCTCGCACGTGTAGTCCCAGCTACTTGGGAGGCTGAGGCAAAAGAATCGCTTGAACCCAGGAAGCAGAGGTTGCAGTGACCCGAGATCACGCCACTGCACTCCAGCCTGGGTGACAGAGCAAGACTTCGTCTCAAAAAAAAAAAAAAAGAAAAGAAAACAAAGACAGAAAGGCAACGTGAAGACAGAGACAGAAAGTGGAATGATGCTTGCACCAGCCAAAAAATACCAGGATCCAACAATGCTGTAAGAGACAAGAGAGAGCCTTCTCAAGAACCTTCACAGTGATGGTAGCCATGCCAACGAATTTAAGGAAAATTATACTAATTTTCCTTAGGGTTGGTAAATTTCATACCAGCTACCAATGTCATTCAATTAACCCAAATTAATAAAACCTGGTGTAAAGTGTGTTTAAGATTCTTACTTCAATAAAGCTAAGCTTTAGCTAAACTGTAAAAAGCTGCAGCTAAAATAAAAATAAGCTATGAGAGTGACTTTAATGACTTTAATATTCTGAGAAACAATGCTGAGACCAAAACTGGGATTACACTCTCACTATGCTGAGCCATAGCCCAGGTGATGTTAGGGCAAGGTGTAGCTTATGAATGGAAAGAAATGGCTACATTAAATTCCATCCATTTACTTTAGGAATGTTGGCCTCCACAACTTCAAAAGAATAAATTTATCTTGTCTCAAGCCACCAAATGCATAGTAACTTGTATAGCAGCACTAGGAAGCTAGTGCACCCCATTTCTAAGGAGCCAATTCTGAGCTGTGGCTGCAGCTCTATTCTTCTATCCTGTACTTCACAAGGATCCAGGGGGCGATGAGAAAGGTTCATGGTAGCCTCTTGGGGAGAGAGGGAGGGGAGTGGGAGATAGCTCGTGGCCTCGTTACAAGCCTCCTGCCTTCTCTCGTCCTGGGGGCACATGGTGCTCTTCAAGAATTATATTCACTGCAATTCAAGCTTTTGCCCATGTGAGTTTGTGCAATGTTTCCAAGGCACTGTGGTGGAGCCATTCTCCTGGTGATGATGTGCTCTGGAGCTGGAATCACTACAAGAGGCACGGCCTGGTACTTAGTTACAGAAGGGCCTGACCTCGCTTCTGAGATGGTCTTGGAATTCTCTAACCTAAAGTCACAGTCACAATTCTCTGATGCTGAGAATGCCTGAACCACAGATGCCGGGTCACATACACCCACTTAAGTCTCTTCAGCTGACAAGAACCTGGTTTAATGCACAATGATAACTGAACACACTTCCAATGCCTCTGCCACCTTGCTTATGGGCACAGCCTACCTGTGGCCTAGGTTTGCTTTGATCACCATCAATATTGCTTGAACCAATCCCCTGCTAAGGACTTCTTTGCTGACTCAACCACCCCACAGTGACTAGGGATGTGCCAGCTCCCCTCCACCAGGTGGGGCTCTGATTTTTCCCCTCTCCCCACCAAGTGGGATGCTGATCCCTTCCCTCTCCCCCCGCAGGTGGGGCTCTGATCCCTTTCTTCTTCCGCCCTAGGTGGGCCTCTGATCCCTTCCCTCTCCCACCCAAGTGGGCCTCTGATCCTTTCCCCCTCCCCCCACCAGGAGGGCTCTGATTTTTTTCCCTCTGCCCCTCCAGGTGGGGCTCTGATCCCTTCCTTCTCCACTCCCCAGCTGGGTCTCTGATTCCTTTATATAACCCACCCACCCCCCACGGTGGGACTCTGATCTCTTCCATCTCCCAGTAAATGAGGCTTTGATGCCTTCCTTCTCAGTGTATCAGTGAGGTTTACTCTCATATTGGGCAGATTCTTCCAGTGCCTAATGGCCTTTGATGTCTTCAAATTGCACAGCTTCATATTGGAGTCATTCCTCATCTCCCTCATTTCCTGGGCTGCCCATGGATTAAAATGTCATGGTACTGGTAACATCTGAACCATGCTGGTAGTTATTCCCTTTGGTTCCTGTTTTAACCTGTCCAGTTGCCTTTACCAGCATGAGGCTCAGTGACAAGCTCCTGTAATCTAAGGCCTCTTCAAACTCAACGGCTTAACTGTCCTGGTCATCTTACCATTTCCATGCACGTATTTTTGAAGTTTGTGGTATAATGGGAGAGTTGATCATAAGAACTTGAGGCCACAGTGTCCAGATTTGACGTCTGTGTTTGCTGCCCACTAGCTCTGTCTTCTTAGATAAATTATTGAACATCTCTGGACCATGGTTTACATACAGGGATAATATAAGAACTGAATGAGTTAATATAAATCATCTAAAACATTGTCTGCCGCATAGTGGAATCCGGAACTCTAGGAATATTAGCAAGGAAGAAGATGACACTGATGGCACTGATGAGATGAACCCTGACAATGTCAATCCTGCCCACGTTTCCCCCATGCCTGTAACTTTGCATTATCCTCTAGGAAGGCACTTACTATCTTGTAAGTATTAAAACTGTCTATTTTTTTCTGGACCTGCATATTATGAATTCCCTGAGGGCCACAGTCTTGTTTTATTTATCCTTACATTCCTGGCACTAGGTATAGTACCTGCTAGAGAGAGCTTTAGCAAAATTATTGTCCTCACTCCCCTCTTCACCTTATTAATTCTTTAATAGGATGTGCAAATGGGCCAGATCAATGTGAAAGAAAAATGAGTGCTTCAAGAATTTAAATAATTAGGTGGTATAAGTATAAAATATTTCTAAACCTAAACACTGAGTTATAGATTGGATAGCAATTATATGAGCAGTTTGAAAATATAAAGCCCATATTGTACATTTTTCTATTGCCAGAAATATATTGAGTAGAATTGTACAGTGTTTTTTTCCCTCTTTAGAGGTTATTTAACTCTATCAATCTTATTTTCAGTTTAATTGTGAAACCAACATGCCAAACATACCATACATCCAAAAACAAATTTAGCCTTCTGAATATTAATTAACATTGTTTCAAAGAGACAGCCGCTGTTTATCATTGATTTAAATTAAATATTGAGAAGGAAATTAAAGAGATTTTTATTTCATTTATTCAGCAGCAACATTACAGTTTATACAAATGAAGGCATAATTAAACAGCCTGCCATTAAATTACAATCTGCATCTCATGTAAGCAAACATATTAAAATTGAAAATGCTTGTCATGAATATAAAACCAGCTTGCTTGAATAAGAATTACTCTGAATGTATGATGCACATTTAAGCAATTGTTTTGTTTAATTTCCAAAAAGCACTGTGGCACTTTTGATGTGACTAGACTGACAGGTTGCATTAATTCTGAGACATATTTGATAATAATGACTGTAAGATTACTAATAATAGTTAATGATGTGGTAATCCCTAGTAAGCACTTAATTCACACCAAGTAATTTAATTCATGAGGTGGATATCGTTACTATCTCTTCTAGAAAGTGTCTTTTTTGTTTGTTTGTTTGTTTGTTTGATTGATTAGTTTGAGAGAGGAAGAAATTAAAGTCATTAGGGAGCAGCGACGGGACAAGGGGAGGGCACCCACTCGCTGTAAGCCCTGATGAGTATAATGTGCAAAAGAAGCGAACAGAGTCCCCTTGAGATGCTGTGGCAGAGAATCCAATGCTGAGAGTCAGGTTGCAGTGGGAGCAAGAAGATACACAGGCCGTTCAGCAAAGTGAAGCTTCTAAAAAGAGACTAGTTCTGGGAATCACTTCACAGATGGTGTGTATTCACTTAAAGAACTAGTCCAGAATACATGGATAGAGTTAAATAGGATTATTTTCCAAAATTATTATTTCCAACAGAATTTCTTTACATTAGATGGATGACCTTGAATAGGTTACTTAACTCTGAGTTTTCACTTGCTTATCTACCAAGGGAAGATGATATTTACAACTCACCCCAAAAACCACGGTGAATAGCACATGATAATAAATGGTGTCTGGTATCTAGTGGGGGCTCAAAGAGGACACTTATTCAATGCTTAAAAATTTAGACTAAAATTTAAAACAGCTTGCAAGAGAGATGTGCCCTCACAACTATGAATCAAGAAATAGTTCTGAGTGGACAGCATGGGGTCTCAGGGAATTGATCATCAGTTACCCTATCCGTGTCTTCCTTCCCTAGTCCCTACCTCCTTGATATCTGGTGGGTATGTTTTACATTCAGAATGTATAATGTATAATCCTTTTAAGGATTATCCAATAATGTATAATCCTTTTAAGGATGCACGATCCAGGAATGCTGAGCAGGGTTAAAAACACACAAAGTGGTAAAAATAAATTTTAAAAATAAATAAATAAATGAGCAGGCAGCTTACCCACAGCCATCCTAGTAATCACCAGATGGTAATTGCGGACAATGGATGTGGTGTAAAATGCATTGATCTGACAAAGCAAAATTGGACTCAGAGAAAATGCATTTAAACAAAGGAATTTAATGGTGAGGATGTGTCTTGGGGAGGGAAATGAATCTTGTTCCCAGATGGGTCTTCCAATATGACAAATAAAAATTAAACTTTTATAGCTGGCATCAGGTTGGGTGCTGATTCACGCTTCAGGCATCCAAAGTTCCTCTGCTTCTTTAGTAGAGCAATTGGTGGGCTTCATGATGAGTCAAGGTATATGGCATTCGGCAATGGCTGCTACACATTTAGCCCCAATGAAGCTCTCTTCTCTATAAATAAAATAATGCTTTATCTTTCAAGGATTTTCCTTTTCAAAGCAGTCTCAGCTATCTCCACTTTCTAATAATTCATGTATTCATGCCACATATCTTCCGTAGGCCCCAAATAGTCCCACTGGAGCTTTGTTGAGTGCTGGGAAGGCAGCAGTGGACACACAGCTACTCCCCTCAGTGTTCACAATTCACTCTTCCAGAGTCAACTAGGTTTTCTCTTCAAATATTATCGGTTATGCCTTGTGTCAATTTTTTTTTTTTGAGACGGAGTTTAGCTCTTGTTGCCCAAGTTGGAGTGCAATGGCGTAATCTCAGCTCACCGCAACCTCCGCCTCCCAGGTTCAAGTGATTCTCCTGCCTCAGCCTCCCTAGTAGCTGGGATTACAGGCATGTGCCACCATGCTTGGCTAATTTTGTATTTTTAGTAGAGATGGGTTTCTCCATGTTGGTCAGGCTGTTTTCAAACTCCCGACCTCAGATGATTTGCCTGCCTCAGCCTCCCAAAGTGCTGGGATTACAGGCATCAGCCACTGCGCCCCACCTGTGTCAATTTTTAAATGACTTTATTGAGGTGTGATTGACATACAAAAAGCTGTACCTATTGAATGCAGAGCATGATGAATTTGTGGATAAGTAGACACCCATGAGACTATCATCACAGTCATTGACATGAATTATCCATCACCTCTAGAAGTTTACCCCTCCTCTTTTTTTTGTGTGTGTGAGTGATATAATACTTAATGTAAGATTTACCTTCTTACCAAAGTTTTAAGTGTACTCTACAGTTGAGGTGGTTTGGCTGTGTCCCCACCCAAATCTCATCTTGAATTCCCACATGTTGTGGGAGGGACCAGGTGGGTGGTAATTCAATCATGGGGGCAAGTTTTTCCCGTTCTGTTCTCATTATAGTTAATAAGTCTCACAAGAGCTGATGGTTTCAAAAAAAGGAGTTCACCTGCACAATCTATCTCTCTCTTTGCCTGCTGCCATCCATGTAAGATGAGAGTTGCTCCTCCTTGCCTTCTGCCATGATTCTGAGGCTTCCCCAGCCACAGTGGTCTCAGATGGAGATGAGTAACTTGTTGGGAAATGCAGCAAAGGTGACTTTTCTTATGGTTTAGCAAAGAGACTGGTGTCATTTTGCTCCTGCCCTAGAGATTTGTGGAACTTTCAACTTGAGAGAGATGATTTAGGGTATCTGAGGGAAGAAATTTCTAAGCAAGAAAGGATTCAAGAGGTGACTTGGGTGCTGTTAAAGCCATTCAGTTTTATAAGGGAAGCAGAGCATAAAAGTTCAGAAAATTTGCACTCTGACAATGCAATAGAAAAGAAAATCCCATTTTCTGAGGAGAAATTCAAGCTGGCTATAGCAATTTGTATAAGAAATGAAAAGCCAAATGTTTATCCCTAAGATAATGGGGAAAATGTCTTAAGGGCATGTCAGAAGTCTTCGCGGCAGCCCTTCCCATCACAGGCCCAGAGGCCTAGGAGGAAAACATGGTTTAATGGGCAGGGCCCAGTGTCTCTGTGTTGTGTGTAGCCTGGGGACTTGATGCCCTGCATCCCAGTCACTCCAGCCGTGACCGCAAGGGGCCAATGCAGAGCTCAGGCCATGGCTTCAGAGGGTGCAAGCACCAAGCCTTGGCAGCTTCCACATGGTGTTGAGCCTGTGGTTGCACAGAAGTCAAGAATTGAGGTTTGGGAACCTCCACCTAGATTTCAGAAGATGTATGGAAATGCCTGGATGTCCAGGCAGAAGTTTACTGCAAGGGTGGGGCTCTCATGGGGAACTCTGCTAGGGCAATGTGGAAGGAAAATGTGGGGTGAAAGCCCCCACACAGAGTCATTGCTGGGGCACTGCTTAGTGGAGCTGTGAGAAGAAGGCCACTGTCCTCCAGACCCCAGAAGAGTAGATCCACTGACAGCTTGCACCATGCCCCTGGAAAAGCCACAAACACTCAACAACAACCCGTGAAATTAGCCAGGAGTGGGGGCTATACCTTGCAAATCCACAGGGGCAGAACTGCCCAAGACCATGGGAACCCACCTCTTGTATCAGCGTTACCTGGATGTGCGACATGGAGTCAAAGGAGATCATTTTGGAGCTTTAAGATTTGACTGCCCCACTGGATTTTGGACTTGCAGGGGGCCTGTAGCCCCTTTGTTTTGGCCAATTTCTCCCATTTGAGATAGCTGTATTTACCCAATTCCTGTACCCTCATTGTATCTAGGAAGTAACTAACCTGCTTTTGATTTATACGCTCATAGGCAGAAGGGAATTGCCTTGTCTTGGATGAGACTTTGGACTTTGGACTGTGGACTTTTGAGTTAATGCTGAAATGAGTTAAGACTTTGGGGAACTGTTGGGAAGGCATGATTGGTTTTGAAATGTGAGGACATGAGATTTGAGAGGGGCCATGGGTGAAATTATATGGTTTTCCCCCACCCAAATCTCATCTTGAATTCCCACATGTTGTATGAGGGACCTGGTGGGAGGTAACTGAATCATGGGGGCAGGTCTTTCCTGTGCTGTTCTCATTATACTGATAGTAAATAAGTCTCATGAGAGCTGATGGTTTTAAAGAGGAGAGTTTCCCTGCACAAGCACTCTCTCTTTTCTGTCACCATGTGAGATGTGCCTTCCACCTTCCACCATGATTGTGAGGCCTCCCCAGCCACATGGAACTGTAAGTGCATTCAATTTTTTTCTTTCGTAAATTGCCCAGTCTCTGGTATGTCTTTATCAGCAGTGTGGAAACAGACTAATACAACAGTATTTTTAACTATAAGCATCGTGCTGGACTTAAGATCTCTAGGACTTACCTTACATAACTGAAACTTTGTACCCTTTGACTAATACCTACTTTTCTGGATTGCCAAGCCCCTCTTCCAGTGTTATTGACTCTTTGCAGTGAACACCAATTGTTCTATAGGGCTGCCCCACAACCCATAGCCCCTTAGTGCTCACTCTCTGAGCACTAAGTCCATGTGGTTACAGTGGAAAAAGCCATGGAAAAACATGCCATGACCTTGCCTTCTCTCCATGCCCTGCAGCTGATGAACCAGGAACAGGATCCTAATCCAACCAATCAGAAATTGGGACTAAAAGACTTCAGATAGTCTGACGGCACTATTGAGTGAATATTGGTAGTTGATGACTTACTGATAGCTACTTCCTGCCATACTGACTGGAAAACAGTGGCAGTTGATATGCTGATCTGAGAGAGGACTCCCTGGTAGAGTGGACCGGTTCTCTATTGTAGTCTGTGCTCAAGGGTCAGCTGTAGCCCTACCCTTGGAAGCTGTGATTCCATTTTCAACAATGGAATCAATTCTTATTTTTCTTAAACAAAGTGAAATAGGTTTTTAAGGCCTGTGTCCAACAAATATTAACTTAAAACCTCACCAAATACAACTTAAAGCATTTTTTTTTCTTTTTTCTATTTCTTGGTTACCACAAACCTTAATTTAAAATTCTGTTGATCAGACTGGGTCCAAATAAACAAATGGTTTTTTGAATCATTTTTATCCATTATCGAGTGTGATTTATTGACTTAAATCCTCAAATTATCCTCTGCAACACCATCTTGAGAAACAGTTGTGAAATTTCTGATTGTAAAGCTTTTTCCCAGGGGCTAGCATTTGGTCAAAAAAAAAGGTTTGAAAACACAACTTAAACCTAAAATTATTTTAGGTCTATAAGTTAAAAAAATTTTAGGTCTATAAGTTTAAAAAAATAAAGGGTGGGGCCAGGTGCAGTGGCTCACGCCTGTAATCCCAGCACTTTGAGAGGCTGAGGTGAGCAGATCTCCTGAGGTCAGGAGTTCGAGACCAGCCTGGCCAACATGGTTAAACCCAGTTTCTACTAAAAATAACAAAAATTAGCCAGGCGTGGTAGGGCAGGTGCCTGCAATCCCAGCTACTGTGGAGGCTGAGGCAGGAGGATTGCTTGAACCTGGGAGGCAGAGGTTGCAGTGAGCTGAGATTGTGCCATTGCACTACAGCCTGGGTGATAAGAGCAAGGCTTCATCTCAAAAAAAATAAAAAAATAAAATAAATAAAGGGTGTAACTTGAATGAGAGAAAGAAAAATAATTTGTCATTAACTAGACAGAATTTTTTAAAAATATTTTTCCCTGTTAGAGAGTATTTCCCTATCTTCTAGAACAGTGGAACACACAAGTGATTTTCAGTAGAAGACCCAACATTGAGTCTGAGAAATCATGGTCCAAGAATTTAACCTCCCTTCTGTGAGCTCTTGGCCTTGGCTTTGTCTCAGCTATCAATACATGAAGACGTGGAGATTTTCAATTAGAAATAGTTTGGTGGCTGGGCGCGGTGGCTCACGCCTGTAATCCCAGCACTTTGGGAGGCGGAGGTGGGTGGATCATGAGGTCAGGAGTTCAAGACCAGCCTGGCCAAGATGGTGAAACTCCATCTCTACTAAAAATACAAAAATTAGCCAGGGGTGATGGTGGGTGCCTGTAATCCCAGCTACTTGGGAGGCTGAGGCAGGGAATTGCTTGAACCCGCAAAGTGGAGGTTGCAGTGAGCCAAGATTGCACCACTGCACTCCAACCTGGGGGACAGAATGAGACTCCATCTCAAAAAAAAAAAAAAAGAAAATAGTTTGGTTACCATTTATTTACCTCTGTAACTCAACTAAAAGATAAACTTCAGGCCTTTCAGGAGCTTCTGGAAGCTCGCATTCTTATACAAAATTATGACTCCATTATAATAGACTACTAGGACACCCAGAATGGGCACTACCTACTCCATTCACATCTCCACTCTCTCTTTTCCAACAGAGATTCAGTTTCGTACTATTGTATTCTGCCTTAACCCTCTTTATCGACTCCGCTCTACGTTTTCTGGGGCCCATCATCACTTCTGCCAATTTTTCTCTTTCATTTTTTTTCAAAATTTATTTTTTTCTCTTCTCTCATTCAAGCTGCACCCCCCACCTTTTTTTTTTTTTTAACTTACAGAAATTCCTTCAGTTGGCCAACTCAAAATTACTCCTAGCAAGAAACAGAGTGTACAAGGACTCAGGTATTTTCCCTCATGGTCCAGTGAGTCTTCCTTGTGTTCCATGGCATCATATACCTGCCTGGTCATCTATCATCATTGCTTTTCCTTCTCAGATTCTAAAGCCATTTGGTAGTCTTCCATGCCCTACATTGACAGAGACTGGAGGAAAATCATTTTCTTCAGTAGAAAACATTTAGTTGCATGTAAATCTGGCTGCAAAAAAAGGCAAATATAGTGGGTCTTGCTAAATGATGGTTAAAATTGGATTGTTTCCATAGGCATTAGGTGGAATCAGTAATTACCTCTCAAGAGCCGTATCCTGGAACGTTGTTTTTTTTATTATTTCCTTTCATTTCTTTCCATACTAACAGTGACTGCAAATGCCTCTAGATCTGGCTGTGACTCCTCCTAATATAACCAGTTGTTACAAAGCAAAATCATTAGCATGATGAAAAATTAATTAGAAAAGTCTGTTGCAATTTATAAATATGCATTTGTGGTTAAATAAATCCGAAGTTTTGAATTTGGCTTGGTGCCCTTAGGGTGGATATTTTGCATGCTTGTAGTGTACCGAACAAGAAACCTAATCAGATTGGTTCTGCCATAAATGGAAGCCATTTATTTGGCCCTAATTGGGATCTGAAAAGTTATTAAAGCATATTTTTGGAGTTTGTTCAAATTAATTACTGTGAAGCCAATGGATTTATAGGCAAGCTATTTTCTCAAAACATTTTTTTCTGAACCAGCTGTACCTTGTTCTAACAAATGAAAATTATAGGAATAGAGCAAATATAATGAGCTATCACAGATGGAAAGAGAAGTGGAGTGACCTAGGTTTAAGGCAGAGGTTTGGGAGGCTGTAAAATAAAACAGGTGTTTTTGTATTCATGCTCTCAGGGCCCAATTCAGTAATCTTTCTACTGTATTTCCACTAGAAGAAACAAAACACATTTACTGCAAAGAGGAGGGAGCACCTTGCTATTCAGTTGATTTTGAAGAAACATAGCTTTATGTTCTAAATCTAGAGTTGTCCTTACTATATAATAGCAGGCAAGTAAAAGTAGCTTTAATTTCTTAAGCCTCTGATTTATATGGCTGGGTGAGCTAGGATACTCTACATCCAGGTTAAGAGATTCAGGATAGAATTAACTTGTAGAAAACTAGAGTTTGATTAAGTGATGATTTATAATTTTTAGTGAGAGAGGAGTCTATGTATTTATAGTCCTTATTCTTTCTCTAAATTCTGTATATTATCTATCTGGGTTGGAATTACAATTTGTAACAAATGACATTCATGATTATCTTAATAATTTTTCTATTTTAATTGAAGGCACCTATTAGCATATGACATTGAGGTCATCTTTAATCCAGGTGATGACCACTATAGAACTCCTGGCTCCCTAAACTCAGTGACTACAGCCTTGATGCTACCGGTGGCAATTGCTTGATTCATAGAATCATATTAGGAGTCAATATCAAATGATCAATTCTTCTTTCGTGGGAATGGTGGACTTCTAAGGAGATGTAAGCATTATCATATCCATTAGCTCTATACACATTGGCATTGTAGATGATATTCTGCATCTAGTAGTCTAAGAAGTAACAAGATGTGTGCACTTTATACATGTTTCCCAGAATTCATCCAAATAAATTTTGTGAAATAGATGAATTTTCAGAGTTATTTTTGTACAAGGATCAGCAAACGTTTCTCATCATCTTCTGATTTCTGTTGTCCTCCTCCATTCTCTCTCCCTGGTATTGTTCCCCTTACAATGTAAGTTTCTCTCTGGGGTGATTTCAATAGCTGTCAGCCTTTTCTTACGCACAACCAATCATGTTTCCAATTATGCCCTCTCCAACTTATTGAAATAAAAAGGAAATAAAATTAGACAAGAAAGCATCTGTATTATAATACAAATACCACATTACAAGCTTCAAAAGTCAGGAATGATTTTTATAAAAATACAATTTGCTTCAACTTGAAAGAGTATTTGTGAGTGATATGTAACTCAACCAATAATTACTCAATTAAGGAATAAATAAGTAGGTGTAAACCCACTTTACTGAAGTATGTTGCACTCTACTGTTTGAGAAAGCCTTGAGAGCACATCTCAGACATTTTGTCTTTGAAGAGTGAGGTCTGAAGGTACAGGCGGTTTCCTAAAAACAGGAAAAAAAGAAAAAAAGATGGCGATGTCCCAGCTGAAGTCCATTTCCCTAAACAGAAGCTATTATTGGTGCCTTACCCCTAATTTCACTTCCAACAAAGGATATGAAATATCCAAAGGAAAATGTGGGTGATGGGAGAATGAGAAAACACTCTGCTAAGAGTTATTTTTGAAGCTTCAAACAGAAGGCCACAGTCAGGAGCAAACTCATACAATAATTCACCAAGTACTCCAACCTTGCATTGCATAAGAAAGGCTGGACCTCTGAGAATCTGGAATAAACAGATACTTGACTGGAATTCCGCTTGGAGCCTGCAATAGAAGAGAGCATTGAGGCTGACTGTGGCATTTCCTGCAGACTCATGGATGAGATTAAAGTGATTTTAATAAGCTCCCAGAAAGTAGGTCCTGGTAAAAGCAAATGTAAATTCTGTCTGGAAAAAAATGTCCCAAATGCAGCCCCTTGGAACTTCTACAGATTAAATTTTTAAAAGTATGATTTTATAAACAAAAATTACAAAATATGCAAGAAAATTGTTAGCAGAAACAAAAGCAATATAAAAACACTCTACCCACTGCACCCACTCAATGATTTCAGATACTGGAAATAAGAGATGCAGAATGCAAAATAACTTATGAGATCTTTGAAGAAATAAATGACTATTAAAAACTAGCAAGGAGCAAGTCACTATCTGTTATAGGCTGACTGTATTCCTCCTCAGAAAATTTCATATTCAGGAGTCCTAATCCCCAGTACATCAGCATGTGACCTTCTTTGGAAATAGGGTTGCAGGTGTAATTAGTTAAGATGAGGTAATACTGGAATAATGTGAGGCTGTGATGGTTAATTTTATGTGTCAATTTGACCGGGCCACAGGGTGCCCAGATATTTAATTAAACATTATCCTGCATGTGTCTGTGAGGGTGTTCCCAGATGAGATTAACTTTTGAATTAGGAGACTAAGCAAAACAGATTGCCCTACCCAATGAAGGTGGGCCTTATCCAATCTGTTGAAGACTTGAATAGAATTAGGAAGAATATGCTCCCTTTGCATGGCTGTCTTTGAGCTGGGACACTGGTCTACTTCTGCCTTAGGACTCAGAGTAGAATCTTACACTATCAGCTCTCCTGTTCTAAGGTCTTCTATCTAGGACTAGAACTGTATTGTTAGCTCTGTGGGGTCTCCTGCTTGCCAACTGCAGATCTTGGGGAGTCTCAGCCTCATATCCATCTGAGACAATTACACACACACACATAAACACATGCACATATGCACACACACACACATAAACACATGCACATATGCACATACACACACACACATGTTCTATTGGTTCTGATTCTCTGGAGAACCTAGACTAATATGCAGCAATTAATCCAATTTGACTGCTGTTGTTATAAAAAGTGGGAATTTAGAAATAGACATACGTGCACAAAAAACACTGTGTGAACATGAAGGCAGAGACTGGGGTGATGCATACGCAGGTGAAGAGATCCCAAAGATGACCAGAAAACCACTAGAAGGTAGGAAAAGAGGCATAAAGCAAATGTTCCCCCAGGGCCTCAGAAGGGACCAAACCTGCCAAAATCTAGAACTTGCCATCCTCCCCTCAACCACTGTGAGGCAATAAATTTCTATTTGGTGACACTGTTACAGCATCATGAGCACAGGAATCCACTATCCAAGCAACAGGAAATTTATTTTAAAATAAATAAATGTAACTTTGGGGAATAGTAATGGAATTGTTCAGATTTAAAACACAGCAAATAGAGTATCAGCCAGGGTTATGTGCATGAGTTAGAAACCAACACTTTTAGGAGCAGACAGGAAGGATTTAATTCGAGAGAATCGGTTGATTGTTGAATCATTTTTGTTTCCTGAAATGGCTCCCAAACCACTCCGCACTGAGCGACCACCATTAGTGCTAAGCCAGAATCAATACATTACTTCCATGGCCACCACGATACACGCTGCTCATTTTCAGAACGCCAGAGAATGAAGAAAGCTCTGATGTAAGGATGAAGGTGGCAGATCAGGAAGACAGATCCACTATTACTACCATTGCCATTGAGTGTCAGGACGGAGGGAGCTGGAGAGGGGACAATGCCATGTCACAGGTGATCCTTGCATTCCTGGGACCCTACTAGCCTGCAGCAATAACCAGGTCCCCACCTCAATTCTACATTTCAAATCTCATGCAAAAACATCTAGGACCCTAGTTTTAATAGAGTCTTTAAAATATAGTCATTTCCTATTTTAAGGTTCCTACCCAGAAAATAGCTTGAATGTGAAATGAGTGAGTCAACCCAGCGTACGCAGCGGAGGGAGGCTGAGGAATGGGTTAAGCACAGGAGAAGGCAGAACTAGTGTGCAGAACAGAACACAGACTGAAGAAGAGCTCAGAATGCTTATTGATTTGAGGAGATGGGAAATATAAACAGATTTAAGGATGTTGAGAGGAGAATATGAGTATCTAAGTTTATATCTATTTGCATGCTAGAAGCAGGGAGAACAGAAAATGTGTATTATTTAAAGTTATAATTTCTGATAATTGTTAAATCCTGTGAGAAACATGAATCACAAATATAAGAAACACAGGCATGCAAAGCAGGATAAATAAAAAGAAATTCAACCCCGGACACATTGTCTTGAAATAGCTGAATACCAAAAACATAATGACAACCTTACAAGCAGCCAGAGAGAAAAGTCGTACCATTTATTAAAGGATGATAATTAGACAAGAGTAATGTCCCAAAAACAAAAACAAAAAAAATCATGAAACAATATTGTCAAAGAACTAAGATAAAATAACTACCAGTGAAGAATTGGGTATTCACAAAACTCAGTCTCAAGAATAAACACGCTTTCAAATACACAAACAAAAATCAGAATGTATAACCTTAATAGAGTTATTTATTTCAGGAAATAGTAGAGTATTTATTTCAGATTTATTTGTTTATTTCGATTTTATAATAGAGCATTTCTTTTGGAAAAATAAAACAACTACAGAAGGAAGATCTTAAAACAATAAGGATAAACAATCCGAAAAGTGTATAAACATGAGTAAATACAAACAGACAGTGCCTGAAGAAAATAATCATAATAATAATCATAATATTGTCAAATCTGTGGTTTATAAAATAAGTCAAAACAAAAACTTTGAAAACAATCATTTGTAAATCATAAGAGTAATAAAATCCTATCTTGTTAGGAAGAGTGAGTAAGCAAGATAAATTACCCAGTGTAAAAATCCAATGGCAACAATTGAAAGAATATAAATGAAGAGTATAAAATAAAGTCCAGTAGAATAAAGTGAGATAAACAAAATTTAAAAAAATAGAGTAAAAGTAATTAGTTCAAAAGAAGGAAAGTAAAGGTAGGGGACAATGAAGCTTAACAAAAAGTGGAAGATTATAATAAATTAAAAATTCCTAAAATAAGTCCAATATTCTAAGTAATATAAATAGACCAAACTATTTATTTAAAATACATTAAAATGAGATTTTTAAACGACAGCTATGTTCTTTTTGTAAGAGATCTAACACAGACATATTGAAATTAAAAATATGGAAAAAGGTGGCCAGGCATTGGTGGCTCGTGCCTATAACCCCAGCACTTTGGGAGGCCAAGGTGGGTGGATCACCTGAGGTCAGGAGTTTGAGACGAGCCTGGCCAACATGGCAAAACCCTGTCTCTACTAAAAAATACAAAAATTAGCCAGGCATGGTGGCACACACCTGTAGTCCCAGCTACTCGGCAGCCTGAGGCAGGAGAATTGCTCAAACCCAGAAGGCAGAGGTTGTAGTGAGCCGAGATTGTGCCACTGCACTCCAGCCTGGGTGACACAGCCAGACTCTGTCTCAAAAATAATAAAAAATAATAGAAATATGGAAAAAGATATACCAGAAAAATAATAACCAAAATGTGGCTGGCTTAGCTTTTAAATGTCATGTAAATTAGTCTTTAAGAGCAAAAGAACTGTTTACAGATGGTTAAATACTTTCCATACTTTACAGATGGTTAAATACAGATGGTTAAATACTTTCATACCTAAAGCTTCTATGAAAATAGCTTCAAAGTATATAGAGAATAGAAATTGACAAAATTAAGAAATCTCCATCATTGTGGGAAATTTTAACATATCTTTCTTTTTTTAATTTTATTTAAAAACCCACAGAGGCTGGGCACAGTGGCTCATGCCTGTAATCCCAGCACTTTGGGAGGCTGAGGCAGGTGGATCACGAGGTCAGGAGTTCGAGACCATCCTGGCTAACATGGTGAAACCCCGTCTCTACTAAAAAATACAAAAATTAGCTGGGTGTGGTGGCATGCGCCTGTAGTCCCAGCTACTTGGGAGGCTGTGGCAGTAGAATCACCAGAACCTGGGAGGTAGAGGTTGCAGTGAGCTGAGATCGCGCCACTGCACTCCAGCCTGGGCGACAGAGTGAGACTCCATCAAAAAAAAAAAAAAAAAAAAAAAACCCGCAGGATATATGGGTTTGTTATATAGGTAAAGGTATGCCATGGTGGTTTGCTGCACCTATCAACCCATCACCTAGGTATTAAGCCCAGCATGCATTAGCTATTTTTCCTAATGCTCTCTCACCCCACCCCACACCCTGACAGGCCCCAGTGTGTGCTGTTCCCCTCCCTGTGTCCAGGTGTTCTCATTGCTCAGCTCCCACTTATAAGTAAGAACATGTAGTGATTGGTTTTCTGTTCCTGCGTTGGTTTGCTGAGGATAATGGCTTCCAGCTTCATCCATGTCTTTGCAAAGGACATCATCTCATTCCTTATCTTGGCTACACAGAATTTCATGGTGTATATGTCCCACATTTTCTTTATCCAGTCTATCCTTGATAGACCTTTGGGTTGATTCGATTTTTTTTCTATTGTGACTACTGCTGCAATGAACATACATGCACATACATGTGCATGTATCTTTGTAATAGAATGACTTATATTTCTTTGAGTATATATCCAGTAACGGGATTGCTGGGTCAAATGGTATTTCTGTTTCAAGATCTTTGAGGAATCGCTACACCGTCTTCCACAATGTTTGAATTAATTTACGTTCCTACCAACAGTGTAAAAGTGTTCCTATTTCTCTGCAACCTCACCAGCATCTGTTGTTTCTTGACTTTGTAATAATTGCCATTCTGATTGGCATGAGATGATATCTCTCAATTATTTACTGTGTCAAGCAAACAAATAAGTTAATGAAGATTGATAAAATTTGAATCATACACTAACAAAGGCTAATCACAGAACCCTGACCTAACCATTTGAGATTTAAAAAAATTATTCTCAGGTACATATGAAATTTAAAACAAAACAAAACAAAATCTTACCACATTCTAAACAAAGCAAGTTTCAACAAACTTTAAGTAATCGGTGTGTACAAAGTTTTTGGGACATGATGCATTTATATGAAAAACCATATGGTTTCAAAAACATCGTTAAGTGCTCATACCTCTTTGTGCTCGTGCCCTTTGATAGCACCTACTGCACTGACTTTGGACTTGGTCTCATGACTTACAGCAAACTTGAAAACGTGATTGTGCATGTCTACTTCCTCTCACGCTTCCTGTCTTGTGGACCCAAAACACTGATTGAGAACAAGCCTAGGGTAGCATGCAGGGGGCCTGTGGAAGGTGACAGGAATAATCAAAATTATCATAGACTAGCTTATAGTCAGCAGGTGTACAAGTATATGATCCCACCCAGCCAGAATTAGCAAAGGTGCATATTTAACCCACACAAAGCACACACACGAGTCACACCAGACAACATTGGACAAACTGCTTATACTATCCATGGACATGTAAGCAATAATAAATTGTTATAATAAACCATTTGGCTTGGAGGGTCCTTAGTGTCTGATATTATAAATAATGTGGGTATATTATATTCCTAGATGTAAAATTTTAGAATAAAACATTAAATATATTCAAAACTAGGTATTATCAAGTCACTTTACATCTCCAACAGGTTATAAGAGAAACATTTACCTTACAATCTCAATCTTGTGAATACAAGAAAGTGATGTTATATCTCATGTTGTTATCCTTCTCATTTAAAGTACAATCATTTAATTATATATAGAATGTATCCTAAAGGAGCTAAAAATTAGTAAATAGAAAATAAAAATTTTAATTGTGTAATATATTATCACTGATGTGTCTATCAATAGCCTTAGCAGTTAATCCAGTGGTGTCTGGTGTCACTCATGTGTCTGTGCTTTGTGTGTGTTACATAAGCATCTTTACTGATTCTGGCTGGGTGAAATCATATATTTGGACACCCACTGGTTCTCTATATATACACCTGATATTTATGGATATTTACAAAATACCAGCCACGTGCCACACCCCTGGACACAAGCTCGTTCATTGAGCTCAGGGGTTCCACACGGATGGTAGAGCTGATGAAAGCAGGCCTGTCTTTGGGGTTTCAGAGAGATTAAGTGCCAGCCTCTATGCAGCTTGAGTAATTTACTTAATAGATGCACCTGCTTCTGCCAGCTGTAAAACATTTGGTAAGATGACCTGAGGCTCATTCCACCTGCTTCATGTCACATGAATGACATGTAGGGAGGGAGAAAGTCAGATGTTGGAGGGGGACATTCTGGCACATTTTAAGTGTCAGTAACCACTATGGAAACCCTCTGGATGGTACACTGAGGAAAGTCTATCTTCCGAGAGTTCAAAGGATAAGCTTCTGTGATAGTGGTTTATTCCAGGAGGGACTTGACAGTGACACAAGTCTCTCAAAATGCATGTGGCAAATCTTTTTTTTTTCTTGTTTCTTGAGATTGAGCCTCACTCTACTGCCTAGGCTGCAGTGCAGTGGTACATTCTCGGCTCACCGCAACCTCCGCCTCCTGGGTTCAACCGATTCTCCTGCCTCAGCCTCCCAAGTAGCTGGGATTATAGGTGCCCACCAACATGCCTGGCTAATTTTTGTATTTTTAGTAGATATGGGGCTTCCCCATGTTGGCCAGGCTGGTCTCAAACTCCTGACCTCAAGTGATTCACCCGCGTCAGCCTCCCAAAATGCTATGATTACAGGCGTGAGCCATCACGCCTGGCCCCCACATAGCAAATCTTAATAATGGAAGGGTGCCACCATGTATGACCCTCTCACAAGGGAGACAGCTCAACACAATGCTCTAAAGCAAACCCAAAAATGCACAAAGCAAAAATTAGGTTTACATCTGGGTGCAAAAATGCAGTTCCATTGAATTTATAGTGAATCAACACAAATTATAGAATATTTACTTTATACCAGGTTCTAGGCCCAGAACTGGGGATCCAAGGGTAAATATGAAAGAACACCTGCCTTTGAAGAGACAACAGGATAAAGTCCTCATGAAAATGAAGAGAGAGAAGCTTCATGATGTGGGCTATCTAAGGATTTATGAAAGCAGCAGGAAGATAGGGAAAAACTAACCCAGTATGTGAAGTGAGAGTGGGTAGAAGGGAAAGTGGGGTACCTTTCAAAGAAGACTTTCTTGAAGCAGGATAATATAGCAACAATAATGTAACTGCAGCCTTAAGCTGTCTGGGCTTTAGTCTCATGTATATACATTAGAGACTCTGGGATGCAAATTTATTTCAAATAAGGATGTTATAAAAATTAAATGAGATACCCGCTGTCTGGCATTTAGTAACTGCTCAATGTATATTATTTTTTACCATTTTTCTAGTCATAGCCAGCATTCATTGAGAACTTAATGTGAGTTAGGCAATTAGTCACGTAATTTATTTTACTAAAAACAAACAAGCCTCCTTGATGAATTGTCACCATAACCCCTCTACCCTATGAGAACTGTAATTATTACCATTTTATGTTGGAGGAAATTATGACACAGTGTGGCTAGGTAGGGCCAAGTTCTTGAAGCTCATAAGTAGCAGACAGAACCAGTCTGACTGCTAAGTTTCATTCTTAACAAATATACTCTACAGCCATGATAATAAAAAGAAGAACAAGAACAACAGAGGACAGTTGCATCTTGCTTAGTGTGTGGCAAACACTGTTCTATCTTCTAACTTATATCTCACTTAATTTTCCTAATAATCTGGTGAAGTCAGTGTTATTATCTCCATTTAGTAGATGAGGAAAATGAGACATCCAGAGTTACATAGCTTGCTCAAAGTCTGGTAGATAGTAGATGGCAGAGCCAAATGTGGACTCACACAGGCTGGGTCTAGATTCCGTAAGCTTAACCAAACTTCTAGGTCAGTGACATGCTTTGGCTCTGTGTCCACACCCAAATCTCATCTTGTAGCTCCCATAATTCCCACGCATTGTGGGAGGGACCTAGTGGACAATGACTGAATTATGGGGGTGGGTCTTGTTCTCCTGATAGTGAATGGGGCTCACAAGATCTGATGGTTTTAAAGTGGGAGTTGCCCTGCACAAACTTTTTTTGTGCCTGCTGCCATCCATGTAAGATGTGACTTACTCCTCCTTGCCTTCTGCCATGATTGTGAGGCCTCCCAGCCGTGTGGAATTATAAGTCCATTAACCCTCTTTTTCTTCCCAGTCTAGGTTATGTCTTTATCAGCAACATGAAAACAGGCTAATACAGTAAGTTGGTACTGGGAGTGGGGCACTGCTGTAGATACCTGAAAATATAGAAGAGACTTTGGAACTGGGTAACATGAAGGGGTTGCAACAGTTTGGAGAGCTCAGAAGAAAACAGGAAAATGTGGGAAAGTTTGGAACTTCCTAGAGACTTGTTGAATGGCTTTGCTCAAAGTGCTGATAGAGATGTAAACAATAAAGTCCCAGCTGAGGTGGTCTCAGAGTGAAATGAGGAAATTTTTAGGAACTGGGGCAAAGTGACTGTTGTTATGTTTTAGCAGAGACTGGTGGCATTTTACCCCTGCAGTAGAAATCTGTGAAACTTTGAAGTAAAGAGAGATGATTTAGAGTATCTGGTAGAAGAAATTTCTAAGCAGCAAAGCCTTCACAGTATGACTTGGATGCTGTTACAGGCATTCAGTTTTATAAGGGAAGCGGAGTATAAAAGTTTAGAAAATGTACAGCCTGACAATGCCATAGAAAAGAAAATCCCATTTTCTCAGGAGAAACACAAGCTGGCTGCAGAAATTTGCATAAGTAATGAGGAGCTGAATGTTAATCACCAAGACAATGAGGAAAATGACTCCAGGGCATGTCAGAGACCTTTGCAGCAGCCCCTCCCATCACAGGCCCAGAGGCTTAGGAGGAAAAACTGGTTTCGTGGGCTGGGCCCAGGGTGTCCATGCTGTGTGCAGCCTACGGATGTGGTGCCCTGCGTCCCAGCCACTCCAGCTGTGGCTGCAAGGGGCCAACATAGAGCTTGGGCCGTGGCTTCAGAGAGTACAAGCCTCTAGCCTTGGCAGTTTCCATGTGGTGTTGAGCCTGTGAGTGCACAGAAGTATTGAGATTTGGGAACCTCTGCCTAGATTTCAGAAGATGTATGGAAATGCCTGGATGCCCAAGCAGAAGTTTGCTGTAGGGTTGGGGTCCTCATGGAGAACCTCTGCTAGGGCAATGCAGAAAGGAAATGTGGGGTGGGAGCTCCACCATCCTCCAGATCCCAGAATGATACACCCACTGACAGCTTGCACTGTGCACAGACACTCAATGCCAGACTGTGAAGGCAGCTGCGAGGAAGGCTGTACCCTGAAAAGCCACAGGGTCGAAGCTGCCCAAGACTATAGTAACCTACCTCTTGTATCAGTGTGACCTGGATGTGAGACATGGAGTCAAAGGAGATCATTTTGGAGCTTTAAGATTTGACTGCCCTGCTGGATTTCAGACTTCCATGGGGCCAGTAGCCCCTTTGATTTGACCAGTTTATCCCACTTGGAATGGCTGTATTTACCCAATGCCTGTACTCCCATTGTATATAGGAAGTAACTAACTAACTTGCTTTTGATTTTATGGGCTCACAAATGGAAGGACTTGCCCTGTCTTAAATGAGACTTTAGACTGTGGACTTCTGAGTTAATGCTGAAATAATTTGAGACTTTTGGGCAGTGTTGGGAAGACATGATTGGTTTTGCAATGGGAAGACATGAGATTTGGGAGGGGCCCAGGGTGGAAAAATATGGCTTGGCTCTGTGTCCACACTCAAATCTCATCACTCAAATCTCATCTTGTAGCTCCCATAATTCCCACTTGTTGTGGGAGGGACCTGGTGGAAGATCATTGAATTATGGGGCTGAGTCTTTCCTGTGATGTTCTTGCGATAGTGAATGGGTCTCACAAGATCTGATAGTTTTAGAAACGGGAGTTGCCCTGCACCAGCTCTCTTTTTTTTTTGCCTGCCACTACCCATGTAAGAAGTGACTTGCTCCTCCTTGCCTTCTGCCATGATTGTGAGGCCTCCCCAGCCATGTGGAACTGTGAGTCCCATTAAACCTCTTTTTCTTCCCAGTCTAAGGTATGTCTTTATCAGCAGTGTGAAAATGCACTAATACAGTCGGAGTTCTCTGAGACGGAGAGTAGTGAGCAGGTGGTAAACTGGGAAGTGTTTTCAGGATCAACACCTGCAAAGGAATGAAGAAAACAGGATCCAGCAAAAGGGAAGTTTGAACTGAAACCCGGTCACAGACCTCAGCACATCCCACCAAGAAGCTCTGGAAATGGGATCAAACTTCAAAGTTGTCGCAAGAAGAAAAGAAGATTCTGGGGTTTATTCTGTTGCATGGACTGATCAATCATTTAATATTGTATAAGCAGTCTCTAAGGACTATATAGCTGACTAAGACAGCACGTTCAGCTGAGGGCAATCCCCAGGGAAAGATTCAGCTGTAAGTGTCAACAGCCAGCACTCTCAGCACCTGGTCCTGCATCAAAGTTTGATGACTCTCTCTGCCCAACCCTGCTCCTTCTCCTTTTCCTTCAGTTATTCCACACATACACATGCACACGCACACACACACAAAAACACACAAAACCCTGTGACACTCTCAAATCTGTCTGAGCATTTGCTTCCCAGAGACTACAGCCAGCACACTCTTGCAAAGTGGAAGAGTGTCAGTGGCATCAACTTGTAACCAAGAGGCTAGTTGGTGTCCTCAGAGGATGGTACCAGGCTGGAGTTTCAACAGTGATCTCTCCTGTGGCAGTTTTGACATCTGTTCATCCTCTTTCCCAGGGCCCTTGCAGTCTGAGAATTCTGTACCGCAGAGAATGTCTTTATATAGCCAGATCCTCCCCTATCAAACCTTATCTTCTTCCCCACCTCAGTCCAGCAGCCTCAGGGTGAAGTCTCATATGTACTCTCCCAGTTCCTGTCAGCACATGTTGGATCTGTCTTGTGACTCCTCTGAAGTTTAGTCTCCTTTCCCCTCAAGAGGCCCAGCAATTTCTCAGATGAGCTATGCTATGACTCCACCATTGCTTTTGAACCTCCAGAAAGAGAGGTTCAGCTACATCCTGAGGGAGGCCCATACTGTCATCAAGATAAGGCTTTTGCATTGCTGTCAATCAAGAAGGGAGAACTAGCTGTTCCACAGAAAGGAAGGGGTGGGCCGTGTCTACAAGAGTGTTCATTGAAATCTATGTGTTAAATGTTTCAACGTGTTTATCTAAGTGTCAGCACCCTCAATTTCAGAGTCCTTCTTCCAATTAGGACCCTCACTTTGACCTAGTGGACTTGCTGAAATTGAGATTTAAACTGCCTTTGAAGGGCAATTACCCTTAAAATACTGTCCTAGGCATCCTCACCTTTTTTTCTCTTTGCCTTGGAGTACAGTTTATTATCCCCAGTGAGAAAATCCTAAATCTAAAATGCTCTAAAACCCCAAAATTTTAGAGCACTGACATGATACCACATGGGTGGCTGAGATAGTGACAGTTTTGCATTTTGATGGTTCAGTACACACAAACTTTGTTTTATGCACATATTTATTAAAAATCCTGTATAAATTACCTTCAGGCTATGTGTATAAGTTAGCTATGAAATATAAATACATTTTGAGTTTAGACTTTGTCCCTATCCCCAAGAGATCTCATCACGTATATGCAAATATTCCAAAATCTGAAAAAAAAAATCCAAAACCTGAAACACTCCTGGTCTTATTTTGGATAAGGGATATCCAACCTGTGTATGAAATTATCTGTATATGTTTCCAAGGAGGACTTCTGACTTTCAAACTTAACTTTCAATTAGTGGTTAATCACTCTCAGTCTTTTATTGTCTTTTGCCTTGAGCTATAGACATTTAATTATTCAATTCCATCACTCTTATAATCACCACATCTCCTAAATCTCTCTGAAGCCTGAGGTATTGCACCTGCTAGTACATTCCCATTCAGTACTGTATTTCCCTGCCTCAGCTCACTATGGATGGATGCTGTCAGAAGTGTACTGAATCCCTCGGGCTCCCATGCTTCCCCTATCACCTGCGACGGGATCTGCAGTGCCAGCCCCATAAGATGATTCAACTCCAAAGTTTCATTTTCCAGTCTGCTTTCTTCGACCACTTCTGCAAATTCCCTAAGTAGCTGTGTTTTCATGAAGAAAATGTACTTAGAAATGTTTTCTATAATACGGACTTGGAAGGAGGAAAGCAAGAATGGACTTGTGAGGTGGTGGCTGCAAAAACCAAGGTTGATGCCATTGGCATTCTGCAGTGGGAGTGATCCTTTGGAGTTGTACAAAATTGAAGACAAAGGGCTTTTGTACATACACAACAATCTTTCCTTGGCCATGGGTTGCCTCTGGAAAACGAATATCATATTGGGAGAAGCAGCTCCCCTATGCCAAGAGGACTCAGTTGTGTGCTGTGGGTAGATGACGCTTTCTAAAGCTGGGAGAATGAGTGCTGTGGTGATATACCTTACAATCTGTGTGTTTTAGTCCTCAAGAGGTTACAGTAGAATCTATATCTGAAACAGTGAATGGGCATTAGTTGGATGAGAGGTGTGGGAGGTGGGGGCAGAGGAGAACTGAGCGCCCCAGGGTGAGAAAAGGCTGGATGCATAATGCATTCACATTGAGCTTCACTGTGGGGTGTCATGTCGTATAATGTAACACCAGTCACCCTCATTTCCTTTTAACAAAGGTTTTTCATTTGTGTGAAGTTGATGGCCTAGAAGAGTTGAGAGAAATCCCTTGCAATCTTGCCAGTGGCAGAAAAAGGGAGGAGTAGAAACACCAGAAAAGGGAAAAGGAATTCTAGTGTCAAGGACCTACTATGCTCCTGTGTCTTTGCAGCCTCTGAGAGAGAGTTAAATAAGAAAAATTCATGCTGCTGCAGACCAAGAGGAAATTGGATAATGCAACAGAGAAAGTGTCAAGGGGTCGATACCATTTGCACAATGAGGAGTCTTTTTCAGTTGAACCCAACTTGTTATCTACTCTCTTCCTGCCCCAAATCCTTATGAATCAAAACACCCCCATTTGTCATCCCATAGGAGAGAGAAACAATGCTGATCAGAGAGGCCAAGCTACCCACTGGGGGACAAGCAGGAAAGAGGTGCCAGGTCTGAGAATAAAAGCCATAGCCAGCACTGCACAGTGACAACTATGGAGACAGGGTCTCCTAATGCCACATGAAGTTGCCAACTCAGATTGCTGAAAGTGTAGAAACTCAATTCTTTCAGTACTGAAATTGTACACCTTGACCAGCTGCCCAGAGAGAATTCAAAGTCCTCTGTTGTTGATAAAATAGCCCTGACATGACCCTCACGTTGAATGCACAGGGGGCACCTCCTATGTGCCTGGCTCTGTTCCGGCTGCTTTTTACACATACCAAGTCACGAGATCTGGCATGCTGTGAAGTGAGCACTGCTAGCACCCCACTATACAGATGAAGCCAATGAGACACAGAGAGCTGAAGGGATTTTTCCAAGATGATACAGCATGTTAATGGAAGAGCCTGGGTTAAATTCAGGCATCTAGGGATACATACTCAAGCTGAAAAATATTAAAGTAAGAATGTGATTAATCAGCTGGGCGTGGTGGCTCACGCCTGTAATCCCAGCACTTTGGGAGGCCGAGGTGGGAAGATCACAACGTCAAGAGATCAAGACCATTCTGGCCAACATGGAAACCCTGTCTCTACTAAAAATACAAAAATAAGCTGGGTGTGGTGCTGCATGCCTGTACTGTAATCCCAGCTATCTGGGAGGCTGAGGCAGAGGAATCGCTTGAAACCGGGAGGCGGAAATTGCAGTGAGCCAAGATCGTGCCACTGCACTCCAGTTTGGTGACAGAACGAGACTCAGTCTCAAAAAAAAAAAATGTGATTATCATAAAAGTTAGGTTAGGACAGGGTTGAGGAGGGTACTAAGAAAAGGTTTTGATTGGAAAGAGGAACGTGGGCTGTTACAAAGTTCAGAAGATCCCACTTCTTGATGGGGTGATGCTTACATCAGGGCTTCTCACCTTCAGCACTGTTGACTCTTTGGCCTGGATAATTCTTGGTTGTGAGATCTGTCTTCTGCAGCTAGGATGTTGACCAGCATTCATGGCCTCCTCTAACTGGGTACCAGAAATACTCTCTCATGCAGTTGTGAAAACAAAAATGTATCTAGACTGACAAATGTCACTTAGGGTGCAAATTCCCCCACTAGTTGATAACCACTGGTTAGCTATGAAGTTTACACAACCAGAATTGGTGATGCATACATTTATGCTATGCACATTTCTGCACATTTGCTATATTTCTCATTAAAGTAAGTTCAAACAAAAAATATCTAGTGTAGTACTTTGTATGGACTAGGTGTTAAAACTGTGATTTTCCATTCCTCTTCCAGATCCAATATTTTGTATTTCTGAACATATCTAGGAGGACTTCTATGCCATTTCTCTGCCTGATCCCAGCTCCACATCTTCAAACCCTGCTTTAATCCAAGCTGATATTGTTATGTATCACTTCACTTACATCATTCTATTTTCATTGTTTTGTGAGTTCTTTTCTAAAAACTAATTTTGGAAAACAGTTAAACACACAAGAGAGTAAATATCTAATACTACAATTAATACCCTTGCACTCCTGTCAGATGAATGAATTTTAAGATGCTATCTCATTTGCTTCAGAGATTTTCACTAAAAAAAATAAATACTACAGGTGTCCTTTCCTTTGTACCCTTCCTCACACCATTTCCCTTCCTTTAACCTCAGAGGAAATAGTCACTATAAAATTGCTATGTTTTATTTTTTCTATAATTCTGCCATATATGTGTGTATGTCAAAAAACAATAAAACAATGTTAACACAATTATTGTAGCTAATATTCCTTGAGCATTTCCTATATCAAAGTCAGCCCAATGCTTCATTAACATTATCTTGTTTAATATTCAAAACAAACCTTTGAGATAGTGATATGGTTTGGCTGTGTCCCCACCCAAAACTCAACTTGAATTGTATCTCCCAGAATTCCCCCTTATTGTGGGAGGAACTCAGAGGGAGGTAATTGAATCATGGGGGCCAGCCTTTCCCATGCTATTCTTATGATAGTGAATAAGTTTCACGAGATCTAATGGGTTTATCAGAGGGTTCAGCTTTTGCTTCTTCCTCATTTTTCTCTTCCCGACACCATGTAAGAAGTGCCTTTCACCTCCTACCACGATTCTGAGGGGTCCCCAGCCGTGTGGAACTGTAAGTCTAATTCAAACTCTTTTTCTTCCCAGTCTTGAGTATGTCTTTATCAGCAGCATGATAACGGACTAATACAGATGGCCACTATTATTTTTCTAATTCTTCAGTTAAGCAAACTGACACATGAAGATGCTAAATAAGTTTCCCAAGCTTACATAATTAAATTTTACATAAATGTTAAATTTTGCAGAAATGTTATCAAGCGGACTTTATAATTTTCTATTTACTCATCTGTTTTTCTGGTAAACTTTGAACTCTTAAAGACACTGTATTCCTTTGTTTCAGTGTCCATGGGGGCTGCAGCAAAGAACACTGGATACATGAACACACAAATGTGTAAGAAAATACATGAATCAATAAATCAATAGACCGATGCAATTTCTCTCATGCCATATCCTGTTTTCCATCCAGCTGCAGGGTGCCCTTCTCCATTCACCTTTCTTCTTGTTTCTCCCATGAACGTGTCCTCCCTGTGCCCAGCACAGCAGACCAACTGTGCTCCCCGCTTAAAATTCTCTTTGCAGTCAGTGCATCAGAGGCTGCTTTGAAGAGCAGGTGCAGGGTGGAAGTGAGTCAGGGGACATCACATGCAAGTCTGAAGTGGCACCAAAGAGGCCTAGGGGTATTATTAAAAATGTGCCCTGGCCTTATCTAAGGCAGACATTGTGGGACAGCAAGGAGCCCTTAACAAAACGCCTGGGAATATCAGTCTGGCCACTTGGAGGGCCATTACCTGGACAGACTGGGTGAACCTGAAAACACACCGAAGCACAAAAATATGTTTTCCTATTAAGGAGGCATTTTGTATCGATGCTAACTTTTATGTTTAGTATGTTTAGATGAGAGATCAAACTTGCCTGAAAATGAGGATAACAGTACCCACTTGGTAAAGTCAGGAAGCACATTTAATGAGCTAATGTGCATAGTGCACCCAGCGTGGGGCCTGAGGACATGTCAGTCCAGTGAATGTGAGAACAACTGCTGGTTCTCCCAGGGCAGGGTTTCAGCCACTCCTCACCAGATCGCAGCCTCTGCTCACAGCCCCACAGACACACGCAGCTTCCACGCAGCTCCCTGCCACCTCCTTGAGATGCTCCCCCTTCAGATCCCACACCTCCAACCCGACTTCATTTTCTAGATAGCAAATTCCTACTCCCTTGTTTCAAGGTTGAGCTCAGTCTCTGTCTTCATCACCCATCTACCTGCATACTGTCCTGTTTGGGAACAATTCTACATCTACTTTGTGATTTTAGGGTAACAGGGAAGTCCACATGTATTGCTATACCCATTCTGTTGATTATAATTGATTATGTGAATAACCTTCTATAATTTTAATTACAGTGATAATAACAATAGTGATTTTCCTTGTCTTCTGCCTGGCTTGGCTTTACTGTCTGTCCATAGCACATAGCACTGTCCAACAATTTACACACTTACTTGCACTCACTTATTGTCCTCCCTTCACCTAGAATATAATTACTCTCTGGGAAGGGCCTCTGGCTGGCTTGGTCTCTGCTGTATTATCTCAGCCTGTGTCCAACATACAATAAATGGCTGCAGATTAAAGGCAGACACTGAGCTCCGACCTTGAGTTGAAGAGTGTGGTAAGGGCTCCAACACTCCTACGGCATAAAGCCTTCAGAAATCTTATAGCAGCCATTGTTATTGCCTTTGATCAGAGTGAACGCAGGTGGGATGGCAGGAAGTGTGAGGAGCCAGGGCTGTTCAGGAGTTTCAAGCATTTAAAGGTCATTCTGCTGAGTGAGTGGTGAGAGTCAAGGTTGGACACAGCTGGGTCTTGGGCCTCTGCATGTGTCTTTTCCGCTAAGTCATCTTCCTCTGCCACTAGACTCACAGGGACTCAAGAGAAAAGACCCAGTCAAATGTGTTTTGTAGACCCAATGCCCATAACAGTGCCAGAACCTACAAGAAAGTACATGATGAATGAATGAATGAGCTGATGAACAAATAAAACTGGATAAGCCCCTTGGCAAATGGACTGAAAGGAGATAGAAACAAGGAATCCTGGATTTGCAGACGGGATCAAACAAGTAATTCCTTCAGCCTGATGCTGTCCAGAAGCCCGGAGGACCTCAGAAGCGTGGGGATGAAGATTCAGTGACTGGCCCTTAGCATGACTATGAAGATTCTAGGATCGGCCCTGCCAGGCTGCTGGGCTCAGGAACACGGCGCGCTGCTGCCCCCCTGTGGCTCAGGTCGTCCAAACATCGAGTCCTACATCTGTGTGCAATCTGCACTTGGGCTTGTCAACAGTAAACAGAAAACTTCTGTCTTTTCACCCACAGGTTAAAGTAACGTAGGGACTTCAGACACCATTTCTTGTAAAGTGAGGAGACACTAATTTAGCTTGGGGGAGTGTTGGAAAGCCTTTGTATGGCAGATGCACCTGACATTAATAGCTTAACTGAAGAGCATGGCCGTGAGAATGACCCTATGGCCTAAAAAGAATGTGTGCTCAGAGTTCTGAGCTAAGGAATCTGAAGTGGCCAACTTGGAGATTCATTCAGTGTCTACAAGGCACATCTGAGCCCCTGGCCCATCCCATGGAACCTGGGCCATACAGGAGATCAAGGCCTTTTGTACTGGGTTAAATGACGATTGCTAGGTGGTGGTTCTTATGGGAAGTATGAAAGTCATCTCAATAAACCCTATGTCTCATTCACTGGCTCTGGCTCTCTTCATCAGTCTCTGGAACATGGTGCTATCCCCACTGAAGGCAATGGAGGTCCAGCACAGCAACCCCTCACACATAGAACTTGATCCAAATAAGCTAATGCAGGTCCTTTAGCAAGTAGATGTACAGGTAATAAGAGTCGCTTTGTCTGAGATTAATCAAGGAAGAACTACCAAATGAAAGGATTCCTATATCCTTTGTTCTATTGTTTTTCAGAACTTGAATTTTGCAATGCTGAGAATTTTATGTATAGTAGACTTAGGAATTCAGTGTTCTGATCTTAGGGTGATAAGCACTTGAAAATGTAGAGCTGCTACTGATGGGCAGATGGAATGGTCCACATAGAGACAGAAGGTCCCATTTCTAAGTTGTGCTGAATTGTCATACAGGATTAAGCGAAACTTTTCTTACCATAAACAAATCCTATTTATAATAAAAAACACTGCAATCTTCAATATATCACACAACTATGAATTTCTTTTGTTTTACAAAGTAATTTTTTTGTTTCAGTGTTTATTTGTCCTTGAATATGACATTTTCCATAATCCTAAATGTGCCTCAGAGGGCATATTTGAAAACTTTATTAAGTAACCTATCAAAGGTGATATTGACTACACAGCTGAATCAGAATCATGTGTCATTACATGTTGAAAAGAAGTCAGAGAACTCTATTCCAATGTTTTATTTCTGAAATGGCAGAATTGTCACTTGACCACAAGCAGAAAGTAGGTACTAAAAGAGAAATTTGAATAATTTCGGGTTCTTCCAATGCCACACTGTTGTATTTCAACTTAGAACTGAATAGAAAAGAAAGGACATTTATTAATTGTTTTCTCTGTATCAAGTACAGTATTGAGCAAGGCATTTTGCATCCATTAACCCAGTAAACATCACTGTGATGCAAAGGAAAAGAGTGTTTGGTTATCTATTGCTTTGTGACTGATTGTTCCAAAGCATACTGGCTTTAACAACAATTATTTTCCTCATGATTTCATAAGCTCACTGGGCTCAGGTGGACAGCCTTCACTTGGATTCTTTCAAGTGGTTGCAGCAAGTCAGGGGTTGCATAAGGAGCCCTCTGAAGGCTTAAAATGGGCTGGTATCCAAGATAGCTCATTCACATGACTGGCGTTTGATGTTGGTTACTGTGGATCTCAGATGGAGCCATCAAACAGAGACCCTGTGCATGGCCTTTCCTTGTGGCTTGGGCGTCTTGCAGCATGGTGTCTGGGTTTAGAAAGAGGGTGTCTCAAGAGTGAACATTCCATGAGGAAGAAAGGTGAAGGTCCTGGGTTTAGAAAGAAGGTGTCTCAAGGGTGAACATTCCATGAGGAAGAAAGGTGAAGGTCCTGGGCCAATTAATGGACATGGCTAGAACTGGCGAGACATGATTTCCACTGAATTATATCAGCCAAAACAGTTACAGAGCTAGCGCAGATTCAGTGGAGTGAAGAATGAATTTCACTTCTTGACAGAGGACTGATAAGGTCATATAGCAGAGGATTATGTGGGATGGGAGATATTTCTGGGGTTATATTTAGAAAATATAATCTACAGTTCACATGTATCCCACATGCACTTATGGGGAACCCACACTTGGGCTTACTACTCCCCCAAGGAGTGTTTATGATGAAATAGTAAAAATAATAAATACATATTTTATAAACATTATCTGTTTGTAGTAAATTTTATTGAAGTTGATTCTCTTAGAAAGAAGACACAGAAAGAACTCTTTTTGAGATAGTCCTCTCCCTGGCTTGGCCTTAGAATGAGGGTGCTATGGAAAAATACCCTTAAGTTTCTCCATCGTCTCAACTCATCCTATTACAATATCAGTTCAAACCATAGGGTCTCACTAGCCCGACCAGATCCACATGTGGGTGGTCCTCCTGGCTGGGTGGGTGAGGAGGATTCCAAGTAGAATTTCTAACAATTTGAGGAACTATGAACTAAAGACACAAGTCATTCACTCTACACACATCAAACCTACAATAGGGGAGAGAATGCCTTCAATAGACATTTCTACTAAGAGGATAAAAATCAGAACGTGCATTGTAATTACTGGTCCATAGCAATTCTGAAATTTGGTTGGAAAGTTGTTGCCAGTCTTAGGAATAGAGACCAGTCCTGCTTCCCATGTCATTCACAGTGGCTCTTGACTCCACCCTCTGAGTCATCCATTCATTTTCCACAAGAAACAGCCTGCACAGGCAGTTGAGTGTCTTCTTTATTCTGCTCTTCTGTCCATATGATGCCTGAGGTCCAGAAACTTCTTTCCATTTTGGACTATCTCTGTCAATGTTTGTCTAAGGAGACAGTGTTTGTGATGGAATAGTAAAAATAATAAACAGATATCTTATAAACATTATGTGTTTGTAATAAATCTTACTGAAGTTGGTTCTGTTAGAAAGAAGACACACAAAGAACTCTTTTTGAGATCGTCTTTTCTCTGGCTTGGTGTTAGAATGAGGGTTCTATGGAAAAATACCCTTAACTTTCTCAGAAGCCTCTGTTTTATGGTTGAAGCAGACTATGAGTAATATCCTTCTTAAATCTGAAATCTTAACAACAGTTTTACAACTCTTGTTCTCTACCCTGTGACCATGTCTTTCTTTGTGGTGTTTTGCTGTCTGGAAAGACTAGTTATGAGAACCAGTTTTAGCTTTGAACCCCATATGTCCTGGATTTTTTATACTCCTCTAAGTCCTGCTTGAAAATTGAACAGTTACTTTTTCAGCTTCACTTTCTCTATCTGTACCTTATATGTGGCTCAAAGAAATAATTTGGCATTTCCATCATTTTGTCTTCTAAAGTTTTTAACTAAACACATCAGTTTATTATTTGTATACAGTACATTTCATGTTACTATTAGCAATATTTTCTTTCAACTTTTTATTAGCATATATTGTGTTTCTCAAGGTTCCTATAATAGTTTTATCGCTGTTTTTCCAGCTCTCCCCAGGTGTTTATTTAGAACCTTCATCCCAGTCCTAAATCCAGTGCCAACTCTTTTAAGCAGGATTTCACTTCATTTCTGGTACCAGTTTCTGTTCTGATTACTTATGGTGTAACAAAACACTCCAAAACATGTGACTTAAAATCATAATTTATTTCTCTTTTCTCATAAGTATGAAGGTTGTCTAGGCTCCGGTGAATTTTGTTCACTTGAGGCCTGTCATGCTGTTTCACTCAGATGGTGGCTGGAGGCTCAGGTGGCTGAACTTAAACTTGATTTATTACACGCTGGGAGTTGATGATAGCTGTTGGCTTACAGATAAGCTGGGGCTATTGTATGGTGTGTCTAGACCTTGAGCTTCTCAAAACATGGGGTCTTGGTTCTGAGCTGGAACTTCCCAAGAACAAGTTTTCTAACAGGCAGTCAATGGTCATTGCCAGTCTAATTAAGTGCTATGCCTACAATGTACACAGTGTAACTTCTGCTGCATGTTGTTGGTCAAAGCAAATGCTAAATCCACAATGATGGGCTTCATCTCTTGGTAGGTTATTACACAATTACATTGCAGAAAAGCTTGGGGAATAGGAGATAGAATTGTGGCCAACTTTGGAATATACGATATGCCATAGACGCACTGCTCTATTTTATACATTAAAAAACAGAAAAGTGCTCACCCTGTTACTCAAAGAAAGTGCTCAGCAATTGTAGTTCTCATCAATATTTTCCCATCTAATGCAATATTTCCATCACCTAAAAGCATAAAATAATTTCTTCTATCTTAAAGTAAAAACTTTCAACTCTATCTTAATCTTCAACCAGCACCCTATCTTCTTCTCTTTATATCAAACTATCTCTTTTCATTCTTTCTTAAATCTACTCTGATCAGGTTCTTCTTCCCTCTCTACCAAACTGTTCTTGGCAACAACATCAGTAATTTTCACTTTGTTAAACTCAGTGGTGAATGGTTCAGTCCTCATGTTATTTGACCTATCTGCAACTTCTGAAAGGGTTGACTGTTACCCTTTAAGGCACTTTAATTAGCTTCCCCCAATATTATTCTCACATGACTTACCTTCAATCTCTTTGGCCACTCTTTCTACTTTTGCATTCTTAGCTTCCATTTATTTCATAAGTTGAGAGTATTGGAGACCAGAAGTCTCAGCACTTCATTTTGTTCGTTTGTATTTAAAAAGTATATTTTTACTTTTAGTAATATCATCAAACATCATGGATCTGAATACTCCGTATGTGCTTATGTCATTTAAAATTATATCCTCAGATCTTGCTCTGGATTCCAGACTATATTTCCAACTGGCTACTCAACATATCCAATCATGTCTAATAGACATCATATACTTAAAATATGCTCAAAACTGAACACTTTCATTATCCCCCAAAGACACCTATTATTTAGATTCCTACCTCATTTGATGGAAATTCCATTATTCTATGAGATTATACCAAAAAAACGGACAATTATGAATTTATCTCTTACTCTCAAACCCGATGTAATCCATCAACAAATCCTCTCTATCTTCAAAATACATCTAGTATATGAACATTTCTTATCATTTCCACTACTAATATCCCAGTCCAAATTTTTGTCAAAATCATTTCAATAGCCTCTTTGACATTTTCCTTTATTCGAACTTATTCTCTATAATCTATACTCAACAAATCCGCAAGATTCATCCTTGCAAATCAAGTCAGATTATTACACTTCTCTGCTCAAACCCTCCAAAGGCTTTCTATCTTAGTCAGTGTAAAACTCTTCCCAATTACCTATAAGGCCAATATAATCAGCTTGCTAACAAGTAGCTCATTGGCATCTCCTCATAACTCTACCATGTATTGAGATCAGCACTTTTGTCTCATGCTGACAGATAAAGAATTTAGCAGCAGGTGTAGCTAGATCAGCCATAGGAAGAGGAAACCCATGCTTCTAAGCCCATGCATAGTATGTAATCCTGACACCATGGCTACTCTGTTCACAGGCCCCTACATAACAACAGGGGTTGCCAAACACAAAGGGGGTCAACATCCAGTGGGATGTGCACCTGTCCTACAGGTGTTTCAGTTCCTCATCTGTGGCACATTCTCTCTGGTTGGCATCAATGCAAAACACAAAGACCCACACACTCTGTGCCCACACCAAAACACCCTTCCACACTTTTGTTCCACAGACCACTTTATCTCTTACTTCTTAGATGACTTGTATTTACAAAGAAATAAACAAACAAACCCTGAAAGCTTACAGAAGTCTATTATTTCATAGCCTACAATCACCTTGTTCAATTGCTTACAAACTAAGATAATAAATATTTATTGATAGAGTGAATAAGTGAGCCAGGTTCTGTGCTACAAGGACTCATTCGTCTTACGTATCTGCTCACCAGCTCTTTTTTTTTTTTTTTTTTTTTTTGAGACGGAGTCTCGCTCTGTCGCCCAGGCCGGACTGCGGACTGCAGTGGCGCAATCTCGGCTCACTGCAAGCTCCGCTTCCCGGGTTCACGCCATTCTCCTGCCTCAGCCTCCCGAGTAGCTGGGACTACAGGCGCCCGCCACCACGCCCGGCTAATTTTTTGTATTTTTAGTAGAGACGGGGTACCAGCTCTTGACGTATATATGATTATCCCCAGTTTATTGCATCTCTCAAAGGGAAAGTAATGGCAGAGCTGTTAACTGGCAGGGCTAAGACGGGAATCTAAGTAGGTATGATGCAAACCCTCCTTGATTGAATAGCATGGAGCTCAGCACGTGGTGGGTCTCATTAAAATCATTTTATGTCCCTTTACAACACAAAGGATGATACTCACAAGCATGACAAAGATCTGATAATGAGGTTTATGTGGGAGGGATTTATGAAATATAAAATGCTATATAAATGGCCAGGTCCATAGTAAATCACATTGAACCCTACTTCTCAAATGTACCTGCTATTTTATGACATGAAAGTCATGAAATTATAATGTTAGTGACTACAAATTGAGATCTCAGAGATGAAAGTGTGGAATACTTTCATTTTGCAGATGAAGGAATTAGAATGCAGGAAGATGAAGTCAGTTGCTTAAAATCAGCTCAGAGAACCAGGACCCAGGTTTAGTTCAATTCTCTTTCCACTATAACATGCACCTTTATTTTTATTTATTTATTTATTTATTTATTTATTTATTTGAGACAGAGTTTTGCTTTTGTTGCCCAGGCTGGAGTGCAATGGCTCGATCTCGGCTCACTGCAACCTCTGCCTCCTGGGTTCAAGCGAGTCTCCTGCCTCAGCCTCCCGGGTAGCTGGGATTACAAGCATGGGCCACCATGCCTGGCTGATTTTTTTGTATTTTTAGTAGAGACAGGGTTTTATCACATTGGCCAGGCTGGTCTCGAACTCCTGACCTCAGGTGATCCGCCCGCCTCGGCCTACCAAAGTGCTGGGATTACAGGCGTGAGCCACCACGCCCGGCAACATGCACCTTTAAATGAATATTTCGTTTTATTAATTTATTTCAATAAGTTGAGTTCCATCTCCCAACTTTATTTGAACAGAATTAACCAAACTGGTTAAAACTTAAGAGAGTTAACAAAGCACGAATGATTTTCTTCCGCACTGCACACCCCATTCAGACCCACTGTACCCACTAGGACAGGATAGTGCCAGGTGAGCTCAATTTCCTTACCTGGGTTTCCAATACAAAATGTGGGTTTGTTCAGGTCTTTAAACTCTTGGCTAGCTCCTCAAATCTGCAGTTCTCCTGGATTGGTACCTCACTTATTTTCTACTCCTAGTTTCTATGTTTCATGGTTGTTTAAATTGCAGAAGTAAGGAAAGGGAGAGTAACATTTATTAATCAATTTCTATGTGCCAGTTTACTTAGCTTTTAAACAGGATTCTGTTTTGTTTGTGTGTTGGTTTGTTTGTTGTGATGGAGTCTTGCTCTGTCATCCAGGCTGGAGTGCAGTGGCACAATCTCGGCTCACTGCAACCTCTGCCTCCCGGAATCAAGTGATTCTCCTGCCTCAGCCTCCTGAGCAGCTGGGACTACAGGTGTCTGCCACCACACCCAGCTAATTTTTGTATATTTAGTAGAGACAGGGTTTCACCATATTGGCCAGGCTGGTCTTGAACTCCTGACCTCGTGATCCACCTGCCTTGGCCTCCCAAAGTGCTGGGATTACAGGCATGAGCCACCACACCCGGCCTAAACAGGATTCTTTAGTTGCCAACCATAGAGACCAGCTCTGACAAATATAAAGGAAAAACTATACATGGAGATTATTGAGGGGAGAAGGGTTAGTTCAAAAGTTGAAGGCAGGTCTCACAAAGGAACACATGACGTAAGAAGGAAATGAATTAGTATATACAAAGCTTTTAAAACAGAATTGGCAAGGGTTATGGACATATTGGTAAATAAATGAATAAAATAAAGGGCTGATGCCCAGGCAGTTCTTGGGCTTGGCATAGCAGAGACTAAATAAGTTTCTTTTGATGTCACCACATTTTTAAAAACTGAGATTAAGATTATGAAACTTTCCCAGAGTCCCATGGTTAATGAAGAAAAGCTAACGCTGATTGCCTATAGTGTATGAGGCCTGCTCTATGCACCCATTGTTTTAGGGATTCACAGAGCAAGTGTCCCAGCTTGGTTCATAATCCCACCCCCTGGTCATGGTAAGATGGGGCACCTTGACTGAGTGTCCTACCAATATTGCATGTCAAGACAACAGAGGCAGCTCCTCAATGGAACACTGCTGGCATGGAACATAGTGGACATGAAGCCTGGGCAGCCCAAAGGGGTGCTTGCTACTCTCCATGTTCTTTCTAGTGTACAAGTCATACAAACATATTATGGCTTGATATTAGGCTTTAAATGACCACTCCCGAAGATGAGGACTCACACAGCTGTGAGATTTGTGATAAATCCTGTTACTTCCTTGTGCTCTAGCTTCTTGTTTATAAAATGGATAAAAACCAGTAGCCACCGTAGAGGGCTAGAAGAGGATCCTTGAAAAATGGATTCATAGAGCAGGCCTCACACATTTTAGGCACTCAATTAGTGTTAGCTTTTCCTCATTAGCCATAGGACCCTGAGAAAGTTACATAATCTTAGTAAACCTCAGCATTTCTCTCTTTATCTCTTTAAAATGTAGTCAATCTTATCAGCTCTGCAAAATTTTAAGTAGGATATTAGACGTGCTAGGAAAAAAAACCACAGCTTGGAACAAAGTAGGTGTTCAGTAAATTATAGAAACATGCATTATTGTCATCCTAATTATTGCCACATTATCATTGAGGGAAAAAAGGATCTAAATAACTGTGCTCATGGAAGAATGGCTTTTTTTTTTTTTTAACTAAATAGATAGCTACAAAAAAGTGGGTTATAAGTCAACCCAGGCATAGATGGGGTCCCCATTTGCTCATTGCACAAACTCTTAATATTTTCTTTAAACTTCTTCTACCATAATAAATGGGAAAGCTGGCCATAATAGTGGAGAGCTCAGCAGCCTTCCAGGACACAGGACAATGAGATGTGTTTCCACATGCCGTTGTCAAATCTTGGCAAGGACTGAATTTCTAGATTTTTAGATTCTTGTAATGAAGGACACAGTGAAATAGTCATAGCTTCCCCACAGGTAAATGATGCTCTTGAAATTCCACCAGTGGGGAATCAGTAAAACTTGAGGACCTGAGGGAATTTGCAGCAGGTGTGGAAATTCAGACAGCTATAAATTATCACTAAATTTGGCACCAAACAGAGCAGTATTTCTGAATAATTCTTTTATGCTTATCATAAGAATTTGGCATGCAATTCTGTGCTGCAATGCATGTCATAAATACAATAATTTATGGTTTGTTTCTACCCAGTAATGCGCAATGTCTTACTAAATTTGGGAACAGGCACAATTAGAACTATAATGAGTTGTGACATTTTTTGAAATGTTTTTAATTTTTTTTTGCTACAGACTGACATTAATAGCTTTTTTGAGATGAGAAATCATAATAATTACTCCAGAGAAAATGACAAAGATAAATGATTATTCACATAAGAAGGCAAAATTCATCAAGAGATTGATTGGTGGTTGGCTATAAGACAAAAGTTCTGCTCTTTAGTTTGATCCATTTATTAGTATCATCTAAAGAACAAACAAGAAGTGGTCAGAATTAGTCTCCAAGTTCCTCTCCTCTCTTTTGCACCCTACATCTCTTGGTTGCAGCTGTCTTTCCTCTGAAGAGCGGGAAGAGGGTAGACTTTGGAGTCAGTCATATCTGAGGAGGAATCCTTGGGTCATCAACTTCTTCCTAACAATGTGACTTTGAGCAGAAGTTTACAACCTTGTCTATGAGGGTTGGGTGCAGTGGCCCATGCCTGTAATTCTAGCACTTTAAGAGGTCGAGGTGGGGGGATCACTAGAGGCCAGGCATTCGAGACAAGCCTTGCCAACATGGCAAAACCCCGTCTCTACTAAAAATACAAAAAAAAATAAAATAAAATGTCTGCTTTTTTCAGAGATGTTTAGAAAATCTGTTGACATAATATAAGTAGACAGTAAAGAATCAGGATTTTTTTAATGGGTTTTAGAATCAAAATAACTAGATTTGAATTTTCACTGCTTGCCAGCTGTGCCAACTTAGACTAGTTAAAAATAATAGCTGAAATAAAAACAAACTGTATAGCACATGCTCTGTACCAGGAACTCTTAATGTATATTAGCCAATTATTTAGGCTTCCTTATTTGAATAGCAAATAATAATACTAGGTCCTACCTTTTTTTTTTTTTTTTTTTTTTGAGACGGAGTCTTGCTCTGTCGCTCAGGCTGGAGCGCAGTGGCGCAATCTCCGCTCACTGCAAGCTCCACCTCGTGGGTTCAGCCATTCTTCTGCCTCAGCCTCCAGAGTAGCTGGGACTACAGGCGCCCACCACCATGGCTGGCTAAATTTTTTTGTTGTATTTTTAGTAGAGACGGGTTTTCACCATGTTAGCCAGGATGGTCTCGATCTCCTGACCTCGTGATCTGCCGGCCTCGGCCTCCCAAAATGCTGGGATTACAGGCATGAGCCACCATGCCCGGCCTAGGGCCCACCTTTTATGCTGTTGCTATGTGTAGACAAATCTTGCAAAGTGTTCATCATACTGTTTTTCTGGTAGGTAGCAAGAATTGGAGAAGAGTTAGATGCCATCAGCACTGTGACTGTGCATAGATGAATAGTAAACAGTATCCCTTAATCTCTGCCACACACGTAGCCTAAGAACATAGCCTAAGAACACGTATGGTACAATGACCACCTGGGCTTCTTCACTAACTCTCCCCGTCTCCTAAATAATGTGATTAGTTCATCAGACCTACCTACCACAAGCTCTGAGACTGATCCTGTGAGTAGATTTTTGAAGAGTTCTAATATCTAGGCTAAGTCATCACCTATAGGACTAAGTCCTGACCTATAAATTATAATTTTTTTTTTAAATCAAGCATTTTTGGTAGAGTCATCAGTGCTTTAGGAGGGCATGGGAAATACATTAGTCAAAACCATTTGGTTGCAGGAAACAGAAATCATTTTGCGTGTTTTTAAAGCAAAAAAGAATTTTATAAGTGTAGCTGGATAATGAAACAAACAGGACCTTGATCTCTGCCTTGGTGAGGACCTGTGCCAGGGAAGCTGCCACGTCTCTAGGGTTTGCAGGTCCACCTGGACTTGTCTTTCTCTCTTGCTCAGCAGTTTGTTGACTTCCTTCTGTCATTTTTAAACCTCTTTCTAAGTTAGTACAAAGGCAAAGGTGGGCTTTGGGGAGAGGGCTAAGGAGAATGGGATATTTCTTACTCGAATTGTGCCATCATATGCTGGCTTTCTTTCTCCAGGACTGGCAGGCTATTTAACACTGAATCTTTCTCTCATTATGTGCAATTGTGGGCTCTTTGGAATTATTCTCTCTACCACCATAGCTGATGGTCTCTTAACTGAAGTTTCTTGACCTGGGACAAATATATTTCATTTTGATAGTGATTGATTACCTCCTCCTCAACCTCTAAAAACCTTGGGGTTAAACTCCAGCTCCTCCTCTGCTGACCTTTCTTCTCTACCCTATTGGGTAGGGTCATGTAAGAAACCCCCACGTTGCCTCTCTTACTTTAGTGGCCTAAAGCTTCTCTGCCTGAGCAAATTCCTAAAGTGAAATTGGATCCCAGTACAGCAGCAGCTCTCCTGTGCACCTTCATCAATATAGCCAGCCAGCCTGCTCTTTTCTTTTATATTTACCAGGCAAGGGTCACAGAGTGGTTCACCCCATCCCTCCAACTATAGGGCACACATTTTAGGCTTTTCAGTGATCTATTAAAACCTCTCTCAGTTGGCTTGAGATGAGGAGGACCAAACACGCTGGCTGTTGAGGAGGAGAGGGAGAGAAAATGGCTTGCAAAGTAAAACTCCTTAAAAATTTTCTTCCCATCCCTAATGCCTCAACCTATTATTTATAATTTTACTAACTAGTTTGAGGCTAAATCACACTTTATTAATCCTCAAGGGTAGACTGCTCACCGTTTTACTTGGTATCTAATATGTGGTGCCTTCATGCTTTGGGGTCAATATGAGAGAAGAAACCTTTCGTTTTGGCATCCAGTTAGCTAAAGATAAGGGTTTCCTCTTAAGGAGAGGTTTCTTCTCTAGAAACTGGACAGCCATCATCAGCCTTCTCTTTTCTTCATCTCTGCTTTATTCATTTCTCTCTGAAGAACAGCCGATCTCTAATCCTCACCCTTTGTGGCAAACTACAGCCACCTCAGTCCTCTAGTGTTCATATGCTTTCGTTCCAACTCCACTCCAAGACTGACTTGACTTTCTCTGGTCCCCACAAATCAATTCTTCAGAAAAAGAATCCAAAGGATACAGCTCTGGCAAGGTACCCAAACGTGGTTCTTTATCTATGATGGCTAAAACCTGTCCTATAAATTAGGGCAATACGGAGATTTACCAAAGAGAAAGATGTTCCTGGTGTGTGGGCTAAATGTATAGCCCCAAAGTTTCCCACTAGAGGTGTGTTAAGAGACATCTTCATGTAAGGGGTTTCAACTGAGGAATGACGAGGTTTACAAATTTGGAAAGGAGAGCTTTATTTGTCATAAAAGGTTGCAGCCCGCAGATTGGCCATCTGATAGGCTGGGAAGCATCACTTCCAGACAGAAGCCAGAAACAGACACTTTGAAGGAGGGGAAAGGGGGACAGGAATTTATGCTGAGTAGCATGGCCCAATATACATATTCAATGAGCTATAGGAGGAGTCATAAATATTTATGAAAGGAGACAATTATGCACGGGCAATTGAGCTCCATGTCACTCCATGGGACTTGTGTTAAAAAAATGGCAGCATTAGCATGATCTAAGGATGCAGTTTTGGGTCCTCCGATGTCAAAATATGAAGCAGAGAACCCCAAAACCCTTACTGCACATCCTCCATAGACTGGCCACAACTGCTCCATGGTTGGTGGTTTCTTATCAGGAAGAAACGTCTGTTAGTTGTTTTGTTAAAACTGCAAAAGAGGGGGCAGTCATGTGAATAGTTGATATCAGCAATGGAGTCTCTTGAAAGGGCTGATTTCTGTTTAGCCCTTAGAGAAGAAAGCCTAGTGGCAGTTTAAGAGGGTGTATCTGACCTCCCATTCAGTCGAGGCAGAGAAACAAGTTTTCAAGGGTACCCTGCAGTCCCTTTGGCCAAGAGGGAGTCTATTCAGTTGTTGGGGGAGCTGAGGATTTCATTTTCATTTCTCAGTAGTCACACTGGAATTTAACCTTGAAATATGAGAAATATATGTATGAGAGATACAAGATATGGTATAAGTCTTTCTAGAGGGGTCTTTCTAGAGAGGAGAGGCTGGAGCACAGACTTTAATAGAAATGACAGCAAAATTAATTAGGCATTTTCTGTGCCTTAAAAAAAGTATATATCACAGTTTTTAGGTGCGGAACAACCCACTGAGTGATAAAATGTTAATTCATTTGCTATTGTTGGAAGAGTTTCTCTTTCCAAGAAAACAACACCACTTATTTAATAAAGACCTCTGAGCAATTACTAGGTCCCAGGCACTCTTTCAGGTACTGGAGAAACACTGAAGTGTGCAAACATTTTGCTTTATGAAGTGGGGTAGACGGAGGATGAACAATAATGTGTTGCCACTTAAGGAGATGCAGTGTGATGAGCGGTGAAGAGAAAGACTTTTCAAAAGTGATAACCTTTGAGTAGCAAAGTAATTCTGTAAAAACAACAACATAAAAAAAAAAAAACTCATGCCTGTAATCCCAGCACTTTGGGAGGCTGAGGTGGGTGGATCACGAGGTCAGGAGATCGAGACCATCCTGGCTAACATGGTGACACCCCGTCTCTACTAAAAATACAAGTTAGCTGGGCATGGTGGCAGGCACCTGTAGTCCCAGATACTCTGGAGGCTGAGGCAGGAGAATGGGGTGAACCCGGGAGGCAGAGCTTGCAGTGAGCTGAGATTGCGCCACTACACTCCAGCCTGGACAACACAGCAAGACTCTATCTCGGGGAAAAAAAAAAAAAAAAAGAAAAGAAAAGAAAAAAAAAGGAGGAATAGGCAGAGGAGACTGCAAATGCAAAGGCTAAATTTGTAAGAAAGAAGAACTAGTTTGAATGCAAATCTAACTAGATTCATGCAGAGGAAATAACCCATGAAAAGACAACACAGAGAGGACAGAGCAAAGAGGATTACACAAGAAGGACAGAATTTCAGGGAAGGGGTTGTGTGCGTCATGATTCTTACCGTACTCAATAATGCCAGTAAGAACAGGGGCTTCAACAGTGCATGGCCCAGGCCTTTGGAATGGAGTGATGAGGGCTACAGAAGGAGTATACAATTAATACCAAAAGAGCCTCAGCCTCCAAATGAAGTAAAGCCTGTTTCTAGGCATTTAATCTCTATTAATGGTTCCATAGAGCCTTATTGATTTTTCTGTTTAGAGAAATGAGGACAAAAACATGAACTTAATTAGGGCTCACTCTCCTCATCTCAACTCTTAAGTGCTGGCTTTTACTTTTCCAATGCATCTGCCCTGAACTGGAATTTGGGCTCTGGGATCTGGGAATGCCTCTGTCGGAGAGGTGAGGCTTTGGGAAATAAACTCAAAAAAAAAAAAAAAAAAAAAGAAAAGAAAGAAAGAAAAAGCAGCAGAGAGCAGGCTGATGGGAATGCTAGACAGAAGGGCAAGGCCAGTAATGCCCACTCCTATACAAATAGCTGCATGTGCCTGTCTGTCAGGAGTGACATCCTGCTCAGAGACAAATGAGACCTGCTGGGTCTGGAGAGTCGGTGTGATCTTGACCTGAAACGGGTCATTCTGTCAAATATGCTCCCTCCCTCTGAGGAAGGAGTGCTTGGCTGTAATAAATCTCTAGCCTAGCCAGGGAGGGGCATCCACCCACTGGGCAACCCATCCATTGGCTTGAAACAACCACAGAAAGTAACAGAAAGCTCTTGTTTTTCCATTTCTAAAAAAGAAAAGGGAACTGATACACCTTGAGGATAGCAGAGAAACAAAAACAAAGACAGGGCTTATATTCAACATAGTCCACAACCAGTTGCATATGAGCCCAGGCCACACAGAGACTCCGGCCTTAGATCAGGAGGAGACCTGCAGCTGGTCCCAACTTAGTACTTGTAGAGAGATCATGGGAAGGAACAAGGATTCTGGGAGGAGTCAGGGGAATCAGTTGAGGGGCTGCAGGCCGTTCAGAAATATTTCCGCATTTTAACAACAGGTGACCCACCAGTGTGCACTCTCTGGATACTACCCTCTATATCAAGCCCAAGTCTAAATAGCTATTTCCTTTAAAAAATAAATCAATGAAACAAAACAACCACAAAGCCCAGAGGCTGGGAAGCATGGGGGCATTTAAAAGAATTTGATTAATGGGTACAAATATACAGCCTGATAGAAGAAATAAGACCTAGTATTAGCTAGATAAGTAGGGTGACTATATTTACAATAATCTATTGTATTTCAAAATGGTAGAGAAGAATTTGTATGGTTTTAGCATTAAAAAGATAGATATTTAAGACAATAGATATCCCAAGCACACTGATTTGATCTTTATAAATTATATGAATGTATTTAATTAGCACATGTGCCCTGAAACTATGTACATAGCTTCAGGAGAGCTATGGCATTTGACACATAGATTGATTAGTATGTGCTTCCATTCCAAGAATAGCAAGCTTTCATTTGGCATACTCTGGGAATATAAAGTGGTAACATGGATTTAAGCCCCAAAAAATGTCTACTCACTGCTTTCTCTTTATTCCCCCATGAGATGAAACATATCAATGAGACAGCTCTGCTCTCAGTGATCTCACACTACAGTGTGTGGAAGAGACACAGGTGTCAAAACTCACAGGGCAGCGAGCTCAGAGCTAAGAATCAGGAGTATGGGGAAACATCTAATCACATCTGTGAGAAGATTAGCCAGAAAGAACACTCCAGAACCATGGTGTAACATCGTGCTAAGCCTAAAAGTAGGTTAAAGATACGTAGAGAGTGGGAGAACATTCTAGGCTTATGGAAGAGAGACCTGAGTAAGCATTCAGGGAGAGTATTGTGTGGGAACATGTCACAGATTCAAGAACCACCTACTTTTAATAATGATAGTTACGATCGTAACCATCTGTATTAAGTTCCTAGGGCTTAAAAAGTACCAGGTATTAAGAAGTACCAGGTGACAGAGAACAATGTAAATATCTAATCTCACAGTTCTGGAGGCTAGCCGTCTGAAATCATGGTCTTAGCAATGCCAGGCTTCCTCTGAAGGTGCTAGTGAGGAATATGTTCCAGGCCCTTCTCTTGCTTGCAGGAGCTCCAAGAGCACCTTGGCTTGTAATTGCATCACTTCCATCCTAACTCCATCACCACGTGGTCCTCTTCGCCTTGTCTCCGCATATGGTCTTCCCTCTGTAATGTTTGTCTCTGTGTTCCAATTCTCCCATTTTATGAGAACAACAGGCAGTGGAATAAGGTAGGCCTTCATGACCTTATTTTAACTTGACACCTCTGTAAAGACCTTATCTTCAAATAAGGTCACATTCTGAGGTACTGGAGATTAGGACCAACATATATTTCTTTCAGGGACACCAGTCAATCCATAAAACCTTCCCTGACACAGGAATTGAACTATCTAGCTAACAAAGCTCCTCCAAATTGATAGAATTCTATGCCATCTTTGCAATATACCTGCGGGATATAGATGTGTTTCCCTATCTTAGAGGTAGTTTGGTTGAGGTGTCATAATTAGTAAAGGCAAAAATTAAAACTAAAATGATAGTCTTGTTTTTGTTTTTGTTTTTGTTTTTGAGGGCTTACTCCACAGGTCATGGGCTTTACATGTAAAATTTCATTTGTCTCCATTTTAAACATGAAGAAACTAGGGCATTAAAGCACTTGAGTAGTATTCTAAAATCACAGGCAGTGGTGGAGCTAGGATTTAAACCATAGCATGTTAATTGCAAAGCACATAACCATAACCAATGGGTCTCATTTAACTCTTTTTTCACACAGTGAATAATCACATGCTGATTATAAACAGCATTTATCAACATTTAATATTAATTGGCCTTTCACATACTTTATAAACATCCTGACAACAATACACAGTATTATTTGTCCCTGGTATCCAAAAGTGTAGATGGAGATTTTGAAACATAAAGTAATTTGCACATGACTCAAAGGTAGGAAGTAAGAAAATTGCTGCATTTAACTTTGAAATCCAGAAAAAACGCTAAGTTGGAGAGATCTGGTAGAGGCAAGAGGTCTCAACATGAAGCAATAAAAATGGAATGCAGTCTTATATTCAAGATGACAGACAGAATTCATAATCCTCTTCCCTGCATTTCAATGCAACATTCTGTCATTGTTTTTCTCTTTAAAGACATGTAGTACTTCTCTGTTGGGAGCAGGCCCCCAAAATCTGGCCATAAACTGGCCCCAAAACTGGCCATAGAATCTCTGCAGCACTGTGACATGTTCATGATGGCCATAACGCCCACGCTGGAAGATTGTGGGTTTACAGGAATGAGGGCAAGGAACACCTGGCCTGCCCCGGGTGGAAAACCGCTTGAAGGCATTCTTAAGCCACAAACAATAGCATGAGCGATCTGTGCCTTAAGGACATGCTATTGCTGCTGTTAACTAGCCCAACCTATTCCTTTAATTCAGCCCATCCCTTCGTTTCCCATAAGGGATACTTTCAGTTAACTTAATATCTATAGAAACAATGCTAATGACTGGTTTGCTGTTAATAAATATGTGGGTAAATCTCTGTTCGGGGCTCTCAGCTCTGAAGTCTGTGAGACCCCTGATTTCCCACTTCACACCTCTATATTTCTGTGTGTGTGTTTTCTTTAATTCCTCTAGCGCTGCTGGGTTAGGGTCTCCCCAACCGAGGTGGTCTCGGCACTTCTCAAAAACAAGAAGAAAAATGTGTGCAGGTTAACAGTAGAGGAAACTCCTGGGATTGAGTGTTGATGGACAGTGAAGCCCTGTAGCTCTCAGAAAGGAGAGGCTGGATACTCACTGTGGGGAAGGACCCCAGGAGTCTGTGAAGAAAAAAAAGCCAAACAGGATATTCCCATCAGTGAACTTGACCTGAAATCATTTCACCCAACAGCTTGAATGACACTTTTTTGTGTATCTTATTGAGTAATTAAAAGCAACCCTATAAACAGTAACTTCGTTTGAATTGTTCCTGGATAGCATATTGACAACAGCAACTCCCAAGGTACACCAAAGACACAAACCCTCTGATGTAAAAGGTAGAATTGTGCAATGCAGCAGGTCAAGCTGTGGAACTGCAACACCATGAGAAAGAGAAAGCATGGCAAACGAGGAGAACCCCCATTCCAGCTCCAAAAAGTACAGACACACACACACATAAGAGCAACTGGAATGTGTATGTGTGTGTGAATTTAAAGTGTACTTTAAAATAAGTACACTTAGGCCGGGCGTGGTGGCTCACGCCTGTAATTCCAGCACTTTGGGAGACTGAGGTGGGCAGATCACGAGGTCAGAAGTTTGAGACCAGCCTGACCAACATGGTGAAACCCCGTCTCTACTTATTTCATTAAGTCTCGCTTACCTGGCTCTCCAAGTTATTATTTGTATAAATTTGTCTTTCTTAGCTCAAAAAAAATGTTTTCTTGATTGACTTTTTTAATCAAAATATCTTATAGAAAAAAAAATCTGGATTTGTTGGCTTCCACTGAAATGTTGTAGGAAATCTGGGAACATGAGCCAACATTTCCATTTAAACATGTTGGGAGGTTGTTTATTCATCAGCTGCCTTCTTAAGATAAGCTATGTACCCCTCGCTCACCACAGCACATTCCACTCATCATGGTACCACTACTGTTGATACTTCATGTCAAGTGAACTTACCATTGAATTACACAGTTATGTCTTCAATCACTAAAGAAGTAAATCCATCTAATTTCAGTCATGTATATAACCTACTCATTCCCTTTAGGACACACATTGGAAATCCCTAGTATTGTCAACTGATGAATCTTCACTTTTCATACCGTGAATATTTAGTCCCCTTAACAATTGATGTATACAAAAGTGACAATATCAACCTCTCTTTTTTCCTCAAAGTAATTTATCATTTTTAACACAAACAAGTATTCTATGTCTGTAACAATATATATAATAGTTGATCAAACTTAAGAAATCACGGGCTTCTTTTAAAGTAGAAAATATTGTGACTTTTTGTATTTTAATTATTTTCAAACAAAACATTTAAATACATTCTTTATGCTTCGAGCTATTTTGCATTCCTGCAGCCAAAACAGATTTATCAATTAGATATAAACAAAAGTATAAACTGATACAACACTAAGAAATAACACAAAGCAATGGGATAGGTGATGCTGTTTTGTTGAAGAAAACCTCTTCTTTGTCATGTGAATATATTTTTGAGAAACAAGCTCTTGTGAGTCTGCCCTGCCTGTACTCTGCAGGGTGAACAAGTTTCCCACCACTTTAAAAACATGTATTTATATATTGTGTCATATTCTCCTTAAGTCACATATATATTTAATCTCATTAGACAATGGCAATTAAAACAATTCTCCTTGGTTGCATCACTCTCATAAGCTGAATGGTTTCTCAAATAATATGGCAGTCCTTCCATCAAAAGTGGTCATCTCAATGGTAGAAAAATTCTTTGTATCAAGCTTATCAATAAAAATAGAATAAAATAATTACAAATATTTATATAGGACTTAGGAATTCATGGCTTGATAACCTAAGGTTGAGGAACATTGCTTTAAGTTTCATCTGTGGCAAGGCGTCAGCAATTGTTCCATGGATTTGCTGTCCTCATTGCTATAAAAATATCCAAAGAATTTGGTCTTTCTGGACAAGGATAAGGCCATGAAAGAGAACCACCAACAAACTCCATATCGATGAGTTGTGTTTAGATTCTAGCTCTTCAAACTGAAGCCTCCACAAAATCATTTTCAGCCTAATTATGAGCCTTGATGAACCTGACTGGCCATTGAAAGAGACCACTATTCCTCAAAAAGTTAAATAGAGTTATCACATGACTGAGAAAGTCTATTCCTATTTTCCCAGAAGAATTAAAAATATATTTCTACATAAAAACGTATACAGGAATATTCATAGCACCATTATTCATAAAAGCCTGAAACTGGAAACAATCCAAGTATCTATCAGTTAATAAACTGATAAGCAAAATATGGTAAATCTAAGCAATATAATATTATTTACCCATAAATATGAATAAAGTACTGACACAATATAGATGAACCTTGAAAACATTATGCTAAGTGAAAGAAGGTAGACACACAGGTCATATTTGTTTTATTCCATTTCTATAAAATGTTCAGAATAGAAAAATTCATAGGGACTGAAGGAAGATTGTTAATTTCCAGAGGAGGGAATTGAAAATGACTGCTAAGGAGTAAAGGGCGTGTGTGTGTGTGTGTGTGTGTGTGTGTGTGTGTGTGTGTGTGTGTTTGAGAAGATAAAAATATTCTGAAGTTAGATAGTGGTGATGGTTGCACAAGTTTGAGAATATGCTAAAATCCACTTGATTTTTCACCCTAAAATAATAAATTTATGGTATGTGATTCATATCTTCTTAAACAAAAAATGTATATATTTTAAAAATAATCTCTAACAAGACTTTCACAAAGTATTCCAAAAACATGAGCAGAAATTTCCCAGACAAAATATTTGTAGACCACCTAGACGCAGTAAAAAAGAATTAGCATGTCTTGATGGCAGGTTTTATGTGAAGAAGAGCTGTATACAAAGTAAAAATAAAATCCAACTGGCAGCAGATTATTAATCTCTCTTTCACCATGCTAAGGAGCTGGGTCCATGTATTAGTCCATTTTCACGCTGCTGATAAAAACATACCCGAGACTGGGCAATTTACAAAAGAAAGAGGTTTAATAGACTTACAGTTCCATCTGGCTGCAGGTGCCTCACAATCATGGCAAAAAGCAAGGAGGAACAAGTATTGTCTTACATGGATGGCAAGAGGCAAAGAGAGACAACTTGTGCAGGGAAACTCTCACTTTTTAAAATCATCAGATCTCATAAGACTTATTCACTATCAGGAGAACAACATGAAAAAGAACCACCCCCATGATTCAATTATCTCCCACTGGGTCCCTTCCACAACACATGGGAATTATGGGAGCTAAAAGATGAGATTTCGGGGGGGACACAGCCAAACCATATCATTCTGCCCCTGGCCCCTCCCAAATCTCATGTATTCACATTTCAAAGCCAATCATGCCTTTCCAATAGTCCCCCAAAGTCTTAACTCATTTCAGCATTAACTCAAAAGTCCACGATCCAAACTCTCATCTGAGACAAGTCCCCTCTGCCTATGAGCCTGTAAAATCAAAAGCAAGTGAGTTACTTCCTAAATACCATGGGAGTACAGGCATTGGGTAAATACAGCTATTCCAAATGGGAAAAATTGGCCTAAACAAAGGGGCTAGAGGCCCCATGCAAATCCAAAATCCAGTGGGGAAGTCGAATCTTAAAACTCCAAAATGATCTCCTTTGACTCCATGTCTCACATAGAGGTCACACTGATGCAAGAGGTGGGTTCCCATGATTTTGGGCAGCTTCACCCCTGTGGTTTAGCAGAGTATAGCCCCCTCCTGGATGTTTGCATGTCTGCGGCTTTTCCAGGCACATGGTGCAAGTTGTCAGTGGATCTACCATTCTGGGGTCTGGAGGATGGTGGCCCTTTTCTCACAGCTCCACTAGCCAGTGCCCCAGTAGGGACTCTGTGTGGGGGCTCTGACCCCACTCCTTTCTTCACTGCCCTAACAGAGGCTCTCCATGAGGACCCCACCCCTGCAGCACACTTCTGCCTGGACATCCAGGCATTTCCATACATTCTCTGAAATCTAGGCGGAGAATCCCAAACCTCAGTTCTTGACTTCTGTGCACCCACAGGCTCAACACCATGTGGAAGCTTCCGAGGCTTCGTGGGCTTCCTCCCTCTGAAGCAACAGCCCAAGCTGTACCTCGTCCCCTTTCAACCACAGCTAGAGTGGCTGGGATGCAGGGCACCAAATCCCTAGGCTGCACACAGCACAGGGACCCTGGGTCTGGCCCATGAAACCATGTTTTCCTCCTAGGCCTCCAAGCCTGTGATGGGAGGTGCTGCCGTGAAGACTTCTGACATGCCTGAAGACATTTTCCCCATTGTCTTGGGGATTAACATTTAGCTCCTCATTATTTATGCAAATTTCTACAGCCTGCTTCAATTTCTCCTCAGAAAATGGTATTTTCTTTTCTATCATATTGTCAGGGTGCAAATTTTCAGAACTTTTATGCTGTGCTTCACTTATAAACTGGATTGCCTTTAACACCACCCAAGTCACATCTTGAATTCTTTGCTGCTTAGAAATTTCTTCTGCCGGATACCCTAAATCATCTCTCTCAAGTTTAAAGTTCCATAAATCTCTAGGGCAGGGGAGAAATGCAGCCAGTTTCTTTGCTCAAACATAACAAGAGTTACTTTTGTTCCCAACAAGTTCCTCATTTCCATCCAAAACTACCTCAGCCAGGATTTCATTGTTTATATCATTATCAGCATTTTGGTCAAAGTCATTCAACAAATCTCTAGGAAGTTCCAAACTTTCCCACATTTTCCTGTCTTGTTCTAAGCCCTCCAAACCATTCCAATGTCTGCCTGTTACCCAGTTCCAAAGTTGCTTCCACATTTTTGGGTATCTTTTCAACAGCACCCCACTCTATTGATAACAATTTACTATATTAGTCCATTTTCACACCGCTGATAAAAGCATACCTGAGACTGGGTAATTTACAAAAGAAAGAGATTGAATAAACTTATAGTTCCATGTGGCTGCGGAGGCCTCACAATCATGGCAGAAGCCAAGGAGGAACAAGTCACGTCTTACATGGATAGCAGCAGGCAAAAAGAGAGAACTTGTGCAGGGAAACTCTCATTTTTAAAATCATCAAATCTCATGAGACTTATTCACTATCACCAGAAGAGCATAGGAAAGACCCACCCCCATGATTCAATTATCTCACACCAGGTCCCTTCCACAACACATGGGAATTATGAAAGCCACAAGATGAGATGTGTGTGGTGACACAGAGCCAAACCATATCAGTCCAGATGGAAGGAAGCCATTTGAACAGGCATGATGACTAATTATCACAATAATTCTTCCAAGAGCAAGAGTAGGCTTATTTGTTTTTTTGTTGATTTGTCTCTTCGTTTATTTTTCCTGAGACTTACCTAGTACGTCATTACTGCTTCCTATTTCTGATACACCAAAATGAAAAATAAAAGCAAAAGAAATATGCAAAAACTTGAGGTAAGGGTGAAGGAATGTAGAAGCTTCATAAGATTTTTTTAAAAAAACAGAAATCTCACTGCCAAACAAAGCAAGGAAAACTATTTTAAAACAAAACTATATCAGGCAAAACATTTGTGGTTCCTTTGATGATTATCCAAGGAGAATATCTTATTCTTTCTTGTTTGTGTGGTTTAGGCTCTTTTAATGAACTGATGGTTTTGACTGAATGGAAAATTCAATTAAGCAAGTGATTCATCTTTCCTTTACAAAAAATCCTGACTGCCCATTGTATTCATCAGGGTTCATCAGAGAAATAGATAGAAAGATAGATTGATAGATCAATAGATAGATAGATATCTAATAGATCTATCTATCTATCTATCTATCTATCTATCTATCTATAGATCTTGTTAGTATTCTCTGCCTAGATAGATAGATCTATCTATCTATCTATCTATCTATCTATCTATCTATCTATCTATTCATCTATCTATCTATCTATCTATCTACCCATTGATATGGTAAGGGACAGAAAGAAAGACAGACAGATTATGTGGATTGGCTGATGTGATTATATGGAGGCTTGAGAAGTACCACAATCTACTGTCTGTAAACTGGAAAGCCAGGAAAGTTGGCGGTATCATTTAGTCCACATCTTTTCAAAAGCCCTGGAAACCAGGGAATCTAAAGGTATAAATCCAAGTCTGATGACAGGAGAAGATGACATGAGATGTCTCAACTCAAGCAGCCAGGTAGGAAGCAAAAATGGGTTGAAATTTCCCTTCCACTGCCTTTCATTCCATTCAGTCCCTCAACAAATTAGATGCCCGCCACACTGAAAAAGTCAATCTACTTTATTGATTTCACTGATTTGAATGTTCATCTAATCTTGAAACACCCTCACAGGCACACTCAGAAGTAATGCTTAATCTGGGCACTCCATGGCCAGCCAAGTTGACACCTAAAATTAACCATCAAATTAACAGCTAAGCTGTTTGCTTATGTTCACCAAAACTGATAGCCTATTTCGTGATTGTGTACGCTAAGAGTTGCTTGTAAGAATTCCACTGCAGAATTATTACTTATGGTCATCATTTCTGAATGGGTGAAGCTGAAAGACTTGCATTATTATCCTGAACAGACAAGAAATGGTATGTGACATAGACAAAATAGCTGGCTTTTCTAGGTCTCTGTTAATGAAATAGAAATAAGATCAGTTCTTCTTTTTTCTGGCTCCATGTTTATCTCTTGCAACCAGCAACTAGCCCTTTTAGATAAGGAGGTTTTCGTTTCAGCATTTACTGAGGCCAGTAAGTGACTCTGTCCTGACATGGATGTTAGGCTTTGTCTGTCCATGGCTAGAAAACTTAGCAGGTCCATGGTAGAGAAAATAGAATGTGTCCAAGTCAATCTGATGCAGTCTAATTTCTTCTAGCTTCTTTAAGAAACTCTATGTCATGATTAACCCTTGGAAAAATATGCAAAGGTATGAATTCACTGAGAGAAATAAGCATTGAACTACTATGAAAGAAAATCTGTGACCATGTCAGCTTCCTTACTGTGTGAGAATCACTCTCTTCTTCCCTGTTGGAAATACTGTTCATTACTATTACAGAAATGGATGATTAAAAATACGGTTTTATTCTTTCTACAGCCCTAGTATTGCATACAGTACCTGGCACAGAGTATGTCCCAGTAAACATGGTTGTTGAACAATGGTTGACATTGTAAACACTTAGCAATAGAGCTTGTGAAATTAATTATATGTCCGGAAATATCTAAAGAGAACAGAAGGTGGGAAGGGTCAAAATTATAACCTGAGTCAAGAAGGAGGGTTGATTTCTCACTGGGGTGAAGGAATGCCAGTGATCTCTGCAGATTACCTAAGAACAACAACAAGAACAACGATGAGAACATCTCATATTTGGAATTGTCCTTGTTGGAAATTTAGTAGGTATGAGGAATAACTGGGACTGCTATTTATTGTGGCCTTGCTAGATGCTGCTGTTGTGCTGTTGCATGGAAATACACATAAGACTGGTGTTTGCAGGTGGCTATTGGAATAAGCTGAACTATGGCAGTCAAGTCATAGGTGGAGAGAAGCTGTGACCTCCTCTCTAATCTGCTCTTCTCTTGTGGCTGTGACTCCATTCTGATGAAACAGATGTCCTTGTAAAAGGGTCACATTTCATCTTCTCCTGTCTATCTAAGTCTTTGCTTATATCCTAAATATCAGTGTGATCTTCCATGTTTGTGGTTTGGTCATCCATTTGGTTTCTGATCCAACCATATTTTTGCTCATTTTTAGAGCATTCTATTTAGGACATTTTACATCCATGGCCCACACCAATAGGCCAACTGTCATACAGCACACCATGGTTGAGCACAGTTGCCAAAGTAGCACTGACCCAGAGGTCCTAAGACCTGCCCATGTTCTGTAGAAATAAAGATTTACTCCCCAACCCATCTCTTCTCCCTCCACTTTCATGAAAACACACACACACACACACACACACACACACACATGCCATAGCCATAATTCATGACCTCAAGAATGTGTGTTTTTGTCGGGACTCCCAAATCCCTCAAAAACACCAGACTCTAGAAACATCATTTAATTTTGGCCTCTGACTATCAGCCCTACTTGTTTCTCCACAGGAAAAGATATCCCCAAGCTCACTATTTAAATTATTGCACCTCATTTCTGGAAGTAATATGGCAATATCTGCAGTCCCTAGTGTTGTTCACGGTCTTTGTTTTACTTTGTTTCCAAAGCAGACACTTACTATAACAACAATAATAATTAACCAATATTAGCTGGTGCTTTGATGTTTGCTGTCTGTGAAAAATCAGTGTTTCCATTGAAGTAATTATGTTCTCTTAAAACAATTTCATTTCACAACTAGAAAATCATAGATGCAGAGAGGTGAGGCAATTTGTACAAAATCATATGGTCATTCAGTAACAAAATCCACCCTCAGACAAAAATCATCTGCCTCCAAAATTATATTTTTATTATCACAGAGCATCCTGTCTGCTGGCAGGAACTTCAGCAGAAATCAATTGACCAGCCTCAAATCATGTCAATTATAATTTCAGTGTTTATTTCTGCACTTAGTAATAAAAGGCTGTGAAGCAAGAGTGGGTATCTCTGTGCAGACCATGTAGAATAAAAAGCAACATCAAACTCACCAAAGAATCCAGACCAGACCACGACTGGACACTTTGTTTAATGACTATCACTGACTATCATCAGTTTCTTACTCAGATGGGATGCACAGATGTGACAGATTGCAATGTGTGTCCTTCAAAATGTTACAAAGAAGTTTGTGGACTAGATAGTGTATAGTTTTTGACACTCTTCCCTTTTATTGCTGGCTTGTAAACTTATATTTCCACTAAGATGAAACATCCATTTCTCTATGACTCTGCCTCTTCACCAACCCTTCCCATGTGAAGATACAGTTAACCAAGCCCTTCTTTTTGTTTCTACTCTCCTTTCCATAGATCTGTCTCTAATTAGTGTTTGCCACGCGATGCTGAAGGCATTTATTTAATCTCTGATTTCTCTTGAAACCATACTTTTTGAAGGTACGATCCATTCTGATTTAGCCTTCTACTTTTTGACATAAAGTGTCGATAAACTTGCAGATGTTTGGTATTGATAATTGGGAGGCTAAATTATTCAGACAAGCAAAAACTTTACAATCTGTTCCTCATCCACTATGTCAGCAGAAGTTTCCCTAAATAAAAAAGTCAGAGCGTTTAGTTATTTGCAGAATTGCCTTCCCTTTTGTTTTACTCTGCCTCAGGCAAATGTTTTAAATAAACACAAATACTCAAGCATCTCCCTATAAGTCAGTCCCTCTGATAAATGAATATTTAAATAAATTTCTATGACAGGCTGAATAAGGGCCCCCAATGATGTCTATGTCCTAATTTCTGGAACCTGAGAATGTGTCAGCATATATGGTTAAAAAAAAAAAAAGAAAAAAAAAAAGACTTTGCAGACGTGACTAAGTTAAGGATCTTGAGAGCAGATATAATCCTGATTGTCCTAGTGACCACAGTGTAATCATAAGCGTCCTTCGAAGACAGAGGCAGGAGGGTCAGCGTAAGAGTAAGAGGCCTAAGAATGGGAGTAATTCAGAGTGACTCAAGGACGGAGCTACAATACAGGGAGTCTCCAGAAGGTGAAAAAGCCGAGGAAACAGATTCTTCACTAAGAGCCTCTAGAACAAACCAGCCCTGTAAACACCTTGACTTTAGCACACTGATAGGGTTTGGCTTTGTGTCCCCACCCAAATCTTATCTCAAACTGTAACCCCCACGTGTCAACAGAGGGATCTTGTGGGAGGTGACTGGATCATGGGGGCAGTTTTCCCATGCTGTTCTCTTGATAATGAGTTCTCAGGAGATCTGACAGTTTAAAAGTGGCACTTTCCCCTTCTCCTTCTCTCTCTCCTGCTGCCCTGTAAGACATTCCTTGCTTCCTGGTATGGTTTGGCTGTGGCCCCACCCAAATCTAATCTTGAATTATAGTTCCCACTGGGTGTGGTGGCTCACACCTGTAATCCCAGCACTTTGGGAGGCTGAAGTGGGTGGATCACCTGAGGTCAGGAGTTTGAGAACAGCCTGGCAATCATGGTGGAACACCATCTCTACTAAAAATACAAAAATTAGCTGGGCATGGTGGTGCATACCTGTAATCCCAGCTACTCGGGAGGCTAGGGCAGAAGAATCGCTTGAACCTGGGAGGTGGAGGTTGCAGTGAGCCAAGATAGTGCCACTGCACTACAACCGGGGCAACAGAGTGGGACTCCTTCTTAAAAAAAAAAAATTGTAGTTCCCATAATCCCCATGTGTGGTGGGAGGGACCCTGTGGGAGGTAATTGAATCATGGGGCGGTTTTCCCCATGCTATTCTCCCAATAGCGAGTAAGTTCTCACGAGATGTAATGGTCATATAAGGGGCTTTCTCCTTTGCTGGGAATTCATTCTCTCTCCTGCCACCCTGTGAAGAGGTGCCTTCTTCCATGATTATAAGTTTCCTGAGGCCTCCCAAGCCATGCAGAACTGTGAGTCAATTAAATCTCTTTTCTTTATAAATTATGCAGTCTTGGATATTTCTTCATAGCAGCATGAAAGTGGACTAAAACACTTCCCCTTTGCCTTCCGCCATGACTGTAAATTTTCTGAGGCCTCCCCAACCATTCAGGACTGTGAGTCAATTAAACCTCTTTTCTTTACAAATTACCCAGTCTCAGGTATTCTTTATAGCACTGTGAAAATGGTTTAATATACCCACTCAGGCTGATTTTGGATACCCAGAATTTTAAGGTGATACATTTTTGCCATGTTCAGCCACTAAGTCTGTAGTAATTTGTTCTGCTGTAGTAGTCATAGGAAGTTAATGCACTCCCTTTTCAAAGCACAGTGTTGTCCCTAATAACATAGTTGAAAAACATGGGATATTGAGAAAAACGAAATGACTCCCTATCTAACATATTAATAGATCCCAGCTCCCTTTCCTTATGTGGACACCCTCATTGTGTAAAGGAATGGGGTGGAATTGGGAGGCACCTATGATATTTTATCTTTTAAATATCATGAACTTCTTTCTAACTCAGGTTTGGATGAAGGCAATGCCTATTTTCTATGATAAAGGGAATAACACGGGTCAACAAGATTTTCACATGTGCACTGGCTAATGTTCTATGTAGTTTTTAAATAGATGGCTATTTTTGGTCATCCACAGTACTGATTTTTAAAAGGTAGGGGGCTGCGTGCAGTAGCTCACATCTGTAATCCCAGCACTTTGGGAGGCTGAGGTGGGCAGATTACCCGAGAGGTCAAGAGTTCAAGACCAGCTTGGCCAAGATGGTGAAACCCTGTCTCTACTAAAAAATACAAAAATTAGCTGGGCGTGGTGGTGGGTGCCTGTAATTCCAGCTACTAAGGAGGCTGAGGCAGGGAGAATAAGTGCTTGAACCCTGGAGTCAAAGGTTGCAGTGAGCCGAGATGGTGCCACTGTACTCCAGCCTAGGTCACAGAGAGACAGAGTGAGACTCCATCTATAAAAAAAAAAAAGATAGGGGGCACCACGTCCTAGTAGCCTTAACATTACCCATCCCAGCTTTCCCAGCACTATCCTTTTCTTTTATTCCACTTCCTTTCCTTTTCCTCGGATTGGATCTCCAGGAGGGGAAGTTGTCAGGGCTCTGTTCACACACTCCACTTGTTTCAGCGTAGAGAACAAAAGGGCATTGGCAAATTCCACAGACTGTTGGGGAAAAGGACTTTCCTCAGTTCACTCCCGCCCTCGCGATGGTGGTGAGAACTATTCCCTGCCAAGCAATTAACATTTCAGACTCATTTTCTCAACTTCATAAAACCTTTCATTTCTGATCTTTTATTTGGGCCATGTTTTACTTTTCATAATACATTTTTCATAATTTATCATTCATTTACATTTCAATTAAAGATGCTGGCTGTTTGTAAAAGCTACCCTGATGAAAGAGTGTGAACTAAATTATTGAAGTTGCTATAATCTGCAGTTCCATTACCACCTCATTTACCCTAATGACACTAGAAAGATTGTTGCCTTCAGAACAGCTCATCCCAGTAGTAGAAATTCCCTCTGGAGCTCAACACACTGAGGCTACAGATATTTGCATGTGCTGTTGGATACATTAATGAGGCAGTTGCTGGCTGGACCTCACCCTAGGAATCTTCATCCATGAGAGTCTCAAATGGATATAAAACTGTTTTCAGAGCCTCCCAAGAAGATGTCCACAGGCTTGAATAATGGACATTTAACAAGAAAGCCATTGGATTTCCATCACCATAGTATTAATTCCCTGGCCTTCTTTGGCACCCATTTTACACATATTATTTTGCTTTAAGCTGGGGAGAGAGGATGGGCAGAAAGGCGCTAAAGTATTCTCAGTACCTACTGTGAAATAGTGTTCTTCAGGCTTCTGGATTTCATCCCCCAGGAGTTCTTAAGCTACTGGGAAAAACTGTCATGTAAGCAAATAAGTATAATGTAAATTAGAAAAGGGAAGAATGGAAGGAAGAAATATTTATTGAGTTTCTAATATGTTTGATGCAATTTACAAACGTATTTTCTTTCTAATATTTCCCGCCTAACCTTATCCTTTGCACTTTATTAACAACAGATAAAAATATTAGCTAATAATTATTGCAAATGTGTTAAGCATTCATATAGCAGATGCTGCTGGTGCCCTGCTCATGCCCTTTCATCATGACCTTTTCAGTGTACAAGGACCCTACTTCCAAGGAACAGCATCTGCATTTCTTTGCCTAAGGGATTTCTTTAGTTGTCAGAGCCCACTTTGCCAACCTTAGTGATAAGCCAAAAGTGCTACCAAATTAATATACAGCTTTCTCATCCAAAGACTAATGGAATGTGGAATGTAAATACTCCATTTTCCTCACCTCTCAGCAGGACTCACCCTGCATGTCCTGTACACATGGGGTTTAGCTCCCATTACACAGTGTTAGTTGTCTGATAAGTCACCTTGTATCGACTTCCTTCCTATACCTGCCTTACCACTCACCTTTAGGTGTTTTGTAGTGTCACCTGTTCAATAAACTATTTGCACTCAAGTCCCAATTCCTGGTCTAGTACTGTGGCCCAGATATGCTCTTCTGAAATCCTTCATAAGAGGCTCAATCCTGCCCCTAAATGCTAACTGGGAATCTGGATTCATGGTGCCTGGATACATTCAGACAGACTACCTAAGTATTACCTGATTGTATTTCTACTTATTTTACTTTCAAACCTTGTTTATTTTTTACACTTTTAGAATGTGGTAATGAATTGCATTGTGGCCCCTAAAAGGTATATCTATGCAGAACCTCAGGATTTGACCTTATTTGAAATAAGCGCCTTTGCAGATATAACTTAGGATCTCAATAAGCGATTACCTTGTATTAGGGCAATAAAATCTAAATTCAGTGATGAATATCCCTGTAAGATGCAGAAAATGGAAGGAAGATCATGTGAAAACAAAGATGGAGATTAGAGTTATGCTGCCGCATGCCAAAGAACGTGAGTGGCCAGCAGCCAGCAAAATCTAAAGAGATGTGGAACAGATTCTTCCTTAAAGCCTGCAAAAGGCACCAACTCTGTTGACACCTTGATGTCAGAATTCTGGCATTCAGAATTGTCAAAGAGTAAATTGCTGCTGTTGTTAGCCACAGTTTCTGGTGATGCATTGTGGAAGTCCTACAAAACTAATACAGATGTCACCTGTATTTTTCAGGACTCTACAGAGAAACAATCAATAGTATACATATGTGTGTATACTACTGGACATATATATATCTTCAAATTATTTATTTACTTATTATAGGAATTGGCTTATGTGATCATGGAGGCTGAGTTGTCTCATGATCTGCCATGTGCAAGCTGAAGACTGCCATGTACAGCCAGTGGTGTAATTCAGTCTGAGCCTGAAGGCCAAAGAACCAGGAGTGCTGATGTTCACAGGCAGGAGAAGTTGGGGGGGCCAGCTCAGAGCTAGTTAATGCACCCATTCCTGACCCTTTTGTTCTACGCAGACCCTCAACATATTGACTGCTGCCCACACATTGACTGCTGCCCACACACCACAGTGTGGTACAGCTTCCTTACTAAGTCTACTGATTTAACTGCTAATGTCATTCAAAAACCACCTCACAAACACACCCAGAAATAATGTTTTACCAGCCATCTAAGCACTCCTTTGCCCAGGCAAGTAGACACAAAAAAATTAACCATCAAATCCAGTGACTTCCTATTGGACTGCCTTTTCCCCACTCCTCTACTGTTCCCACGCTGCTATAAAAACATACCTGAGACTGGGCAATTTCTGGAAAAAAAAAAAAAAAGAGGTTTAATGGACTCACAGTTCCACATGGCTGGGAAGGCCTCACAGTAATGGCGGAAGGTGAAGAAGGAGCAAAGGCACATCTTACATGGTGGCAGGCAAGAGAGTGTGTGCAGGGGAACTGCTCTTTATAAAACCATCAGATCTTGTGAGGCTTATTCACTATCATGAGAACAGCATGGGTAAAACCTGCTCTGATGATTCAATTACCTCCCAGCGGGTCCCTTCCACAACATGTGGGGATTATGGGAGCTACAATTCAAGATGAGATTTGGGTGGGGACACTGGCAAACCATATCACCCACTATCCATTTCCATATCAGATCTGTGAGTACACCCCAGTCTCAAATGCCTATGTATACAAACTAAAATCATCTCAAGGTAAGGAAGTCCCTGTCCTGGACCACCCTCCACGGACTAAGCTTATTCCATTTTAAAATAATTCCCTGTAGCTTCTTACCCCAAGCTTTAATGTTTATGCAGACAGTTACGTTAAGACTTTGGATTTCTGTTTCTTAGTGAGCACTCTCGTTCTCACCTTCTTTCATGGACCTTGGCTTACATTCATTCAGTTAGTCTTGCCATAACTCCCATCCTTATATTCATTGTCCATTCAAGGCCAAATCCTAGTCCTAGCCTTCCCATTGACAGGGGCCACAAGGTTTAGAGACCTCCTGCCCATCTTAGTGAAACTTCCTCTTCATTGTCTGTAAGTTGTGTATTACCCAAAATGACTTCCCTCTTTCTATTCTCCACCAGCCTAATCCAATGGAAAGTGGAATAGCCAAAATACTCAGTATGTCCTGGTATTTAATAAGGTGATTACACAGTATGAAGGCATCGTTGATTAAATACCTGCTGAATGAAGAAAGTAATAGGTAGCAAGAGAGAGCAAGTTTTTAAAGATAGAATTTAAAAATATCTATGTCGAAAACTAAATCACCAATGTAATGGAATTGGGTAGGGCTTCTAGGAAGTGATTAGCTCACAAGGGTGAACCTCTCATGAATGGAATTAGTGCCCTTATAAAATTGGTCTTAGAGGGCTGCTTTGCCTCTCTCTGCCCTGTGAGGTTACAGTGAAAAGACAGCCCTCACCAGACATTGAAACTATGGTGCCTCAATCTTGGACATCCCAGCCTCCAGAACTGTGAGAAAAAAAATTTCATTATTTATAAGCCAACCAGTTTAGTATATTTTGTTATAACATCTTGAACACTACAACAAGTACTTTCTAGCTTGGCCATGTGCATTCTCTTACCCACAATGATGAAGTGGATATTCCTTACTCAGTCTACTGATTTTTTTGCTTTTTTTTTTTTTTGAGACGGAGTCTTGCACTCTAGCCTAGGCTGGAGTGCAGTGGTGCTATCTCGGCTCACTTCAAGCTCCGCCTCCCAGGTTCAAGCCATTCTCCTGCCTCAGCCTCCCGAGTAGCTGGGACTACAGGCACCCGCCACCATGCCTGGCTAATTTTTTTGTATGTTTAGTAGAGATGAGGTTTCACCGTGTTAGCCAGGATGGTCTTGATCTCCTGACCTCCTGATCCATCTGCCTTGGCCTCCCAAAGTGCCGGGATTACAGGTGTGAGCCACCACGCCCTGCCTACTCAGTCTACTGATTTAACTGCTGATGTCATCCAAAAACTGCCTACAAACACACCTAGAAATAATATTTTAGCCTAACAAGGCTAAAGCTATTATAGTCATTGAAATATGTCCAAAGTAAAATTGAGATAAAAACATATTTACACAAATATAATTAATGAATATGAGAAGACTGATGCCAAATGTTGTTTATTGTTAACATACGGTTATGTTGTATTGTTTGATTTTTATCAGAAAACATATAGCAGAAGATTAATCTTATTGGTGTCTAGAGTGTGTATTCAACACATGTTTATTTTGAGCTCATCTGCCCAGTACAGTGGGTTGTAATTTGTTGATTATTTTTATGTTACAAAGTTACTAATACCAGTTGTTCATTTTTCTGGATGATCTCAAACACAAAACATGTTATTAATAAAAACAAAAATGTTTTACAATTACATATCCCCTATTCAATAAATTTTAGATTCCTTTAAAAATCACATCACTGTAGTATTTCCCAGGGAGGGAAATTAGTTACTGTTTGTCTTATTGAAAAAGCAAACTAAATTCAGATTTTGAACATTGAATATATTATCAGATTGAATAAAAATTCATATACATTGCAATACGGTGAAAACGTCATAGAAGAGTGAAATCAGAATGCATTTAGAATAAGTTTCATATAATTTGCTCATGTTCAAGGTAACATAATTTAAGTTCAAAGATATAACAGCTTGGGACCAATCAGGAGACAGACACCATGTAGTGGCTTAAATAAGGGAAGATGAAATAAATAATTAGAAAGCTATGATAAAGGAGTAACTATAAGAATAAAAAATAAGTCCATAATATGGTGCTCTCCAGTTGAGGGAGAGCACCAAGGGGAAAATAATTTGGGGAGGACCCTCTCCAATGCTGGGCTACAGGCCTCATTGCAGCAGGTGCAGTTACATCCCACTGGATGACTAAGAAAGACCTTCGTTGCCCAGACCAGTGCATGTTCATGGTTACTGGACAAGGAGCTAGTGGGCAGGTATGGAGAGGAAGAGGGAGCCACAGTGGACAGAAAACCTAGGGTACTTGTTGTGAGTATTAGCTGAGCTACAGAAGGCAAACTAGTGGGATGGGTGAGCCAAGGGAATTGGGGTATGAGTAGGGATGAAAGGCCTGAAAGGTATAGTTGCTGAGTTGAGAGGTCCATGGTTAGGTGAATATCAGGCCAGTCTGGGGCTGGGAGGTCACCAAAGGACTGTGTATTAGGGCACAGGACTGCTACAGAGTGCTATCAGATGCTCTCATACTCACCACTGACCACCCGCAAGAGAAGCCCCTCTGTCCCTCAATGTCTGTCAGACACTCTCCACTGCAAAAGTTTAGCATCGCACTGGCAGTAAAGGAGAAATTTTTAAAGGAACGTACCCATTGTCTCTGAGAACATATTAGAGAGTGAATTTGAAACTGAGAGACAATAAATTGAAAACAGGCAAAGAAAGTAGGTATGGCTTGCCCACAATCACGCAGTGCCTTAGTGGCATAGTCAGGATGAGAGTGAGGGCTCTTGTCCCTTACCCCAGAGCTTTTTGTCACTATTATTAGCTTCACTCTAGCTCAGTCAAGTATATCTAGGAAGTATAAAAGAATATGAAAGGGCAGAGGTATTTGTTAAATGCCTACATCGTCCCAGTGGCTTCACATTAATTATGGCATTTAATCGTTGCAACAGCACTAAGCAAATAGGGATTTTATGTCCATTTTAAAGGTGGACTTGGATAAGTTAACTAGAATCTGCAAGACTGACAGTTGATCCCAAAGCTATGTTATATAGGCCTTGGCAGAAATGCCCAGAGGAACCAGATTAAGAAATGAAAAAGGGAACTGGGATTCTTAAAGGAGTCTTTCTCCTGTAGGTTTCCTCATTGGCCTGAGACTTTTGTCTTGGGATGACCCATTGCCATCCAGTAGAAAACCTTAACTGCTGCAGCCTCATTGCTCAAGCCTGATGTTCCTGACTTTGATCATTCTGGATTATTATTAAATCGATGATAAAGACCACTCTGAATACCAGCTGAAGCCAAATGTTTCCTGTACCTTAACTAAAATTTTTAATTTAATATAGCAATGCTATTAATACCATCAACATCATTTAGTATTCTTTTGATTTGGAGAAAGATTGACGGACAGAAGTTCAAATAGAGGCAACGAACCTTAGTGGAAAAATTATTTGCAACAGAGACAAAAGGCCTGGATTTAGACCAAGCTCTAAAATTTGCCAGTCTTGGGCCCTCAAGCAAATTATGTCATTTCATACAGTCTCCGTTCACCCATCTGTATACTGAAAATGTAGTGAACTGTAATGTTATTTGAATTAATAATTGCCCTTCTCTGTGGATAACCATATAGCCTCAGATACCAGATTTAACCAGCGACTTTGTTTTGGCCAAAGAAATGTAAGGAGAAGTCACGTGATATTTTTGTGTAGAAACGTCAGGAGTCATTCTGTGATTCCATCAGTTTCTATTTTCTCTCTGCTGTTGCAACTGGCAGGCAGAGGCTGCTCCTTCAGCCCCAGGAACCAGTATAACTACGATAGGGAACAGAACCACGGTGAAACCATGATAGACAAGTAGCAAGAGTGAGAAAATCATCTTTGTTGTTGAAATGTCCTGAGCTGTGGAAAGTATTTGTTATTGCAGCATGGCTGAGTCTAAGCTGAATTCCACAGGTGAAATTAACCTACACATATAGAGCTCCTTACAGCATATTCTTATTTTTTGCTAAAATGTCATATTTATTGGGCACTGATGATACAGTAAGGAATACGACAGACATACTGCTTGATTCTTTGGACCTCACGTTACACAAGGAGAAGAAAGACAACAAAGAAATAAACCACAACAAAAAACAACATGATCATTTGCAATTTTCTCAGATAATTAGTCTTACTGAATATTTCAACATTTCTACAATACGTCAGACAATTTCAGGACTGAGAATTTGCATGATAATTGTGTTTTGCCAATAGGTTTCATTCTACCCATTTTACTGATTTATCCTCAACATTGATCTCTGCAAAAAAAAAAATCTCCTGACTCCACTGGACAATTAACTTGCCCGTTCTTTAAGTTCTAACATGCCAAGTGTTAGTCAATTTTGTATCCCCAGATCTAGCAAAGGACCTTGAAAATTCTTAAGGCATTTGAAAATATTTTTATTAAATAAAAACATTGCCTAAATTATAAGCTTATTGTGTGGATGTCATGAAACCATTTATGTCTCAAAATGGGTTTTCTGTAAATCATGTTTTAAGAATTTAAAAATAATAATGTAAAGAATATTCAATATAAAAAATGTGATCACTAAAAGATCAGAAAATAGACTACAAAATTATATGTATAGTGCAATACAGTCTAAAACATATATTTAGATATAGGTATGGATGTAGGCATAAATAGAATTATAGATTCTTACATCTATTTGGTGAGATTTGGGGTGACATTTGTTACTTATTTTTTTCTATAATTTCCAAATTTATTATCAGTAGATAGCAATTTAGTTGTTATAAAAATAAGAACTGTGCTTGTGAAGTCAATTCTTGAGATTTCTGGGATCCATGATCACAATATGCTTAGGGGTAAGAATAATACGTGCTTTATATTTGTTGGAAAAGCTTAGTTGTTACGTGTTTAACAAAAGCAGATAATGCTTCCTATGGCCTGTTCACCATTTGAAGGATTATATAAAGATTACCTCATTTACCTTCATTTTTCTATAAAATAAATATTATGTTCTCAATTTTACAGATAAAGTGTTAGAAGCACTGATTTGTTAAGAAAATTTCCAGAGTCACACAGCTATAACTGGCAAAGCTGTACTTCAAACTTGGAAAGTCGACTTCTAGAATCCAGAAGTTTAAGCCCTAGACCAGCGTTTTTCAAAGTGTGGTTCCCAGACCAGCAGCGGCGGTGTCACCTGGAACTTATCACAAAGACAAGCTTCCGAGCCAACTTCAGACCTACTCATTGGAAGCTCAAGGTGGGGTTATGATGGGATCAGATACCTGAGTGATAACAAGCTTTTCAGATGAGTTTATGCAGGCTTGAGCTTGAGGATCATTGATCTATACTGTGTTACCTTCCCAAATAACAAGAACACTCAAAAGCCTGTGTTTAAGTATTGCACATACCACTGAGTTATGCTGTGATCTCATTTGCCTGTTTGGAAAATGAATTTAATAAACTGTCCCATTGAACTCAAATTGAGTGTCAAGGGAGATGCAGAAGGTAGGCCCCTCTAGAAGCACAACCACAAAAATGAAACAAATCGGTAGAAATGTTCTATTTCAAAGGCATAAGACATTGAGGTTTTGTCAGAGTGTGACCTTCACAGACACCTGACCATTTATCAGGGAAGACACTATTTAAGTTTGGTTCTCAAAATAAGGTAGAAGAGATTCAATGAGACAAAGTGTGAGAAGGCCCCTGAAGAGAGACTGGGCAAATCCGAGGTGTGTAAGACTAGGGAGTCTGGGTATGGTGGCCAGGGCACAGTGCATGTGGGCAGAGCCTTGCCATGCGTTCAGACATAAACAGGGCCTCTGTGTCACACAGAGAACTTGGGAGGCTTTCGAAGGATCTAATAGGATTATATGCCAAATTGAGATATCAAAATATTTTCAGTTTAATTTACACATATCGACCAGAAAAATCTAACGGCAATTTTTCTAAAATGCCCAATAGTTCCCCTAAAAATCAAATTCTTCCTTCATGCTAATGCAAGTATTTACCTGTCATTACTAAAATCACATAGAATTGCAAAATCTCTTTAATATCCAAGTGGCAATTTTTATTACCCCAAAGACAAAACGATTTGAGAAATTCTCAATGATGTGTGCTCTTATTGCCTCTGCTAAGAAACTGAGCCATGCTCATAATAATTAAATGACAAATTGTCCTACCTGTTTGGCTCATTGCAGCTCTTTGAAACTGCTCTTCAGAAATCCCCTCCCTGTCTTCAGAGCTAATACTTATCCTGGGCGCCATAGAGAGCAGTCACAGTGGCACAAATGCACCATTTAAGGCTTGGCCTATCCTTAATTCCACTGGTTTCCAATATTCTAACATACTTACCTGTTTATACCCTTTCTCCATCCTTTATATGTATTGTACGTAACTCTTTTCCTAACTAAAGTGTGAATCCTGGGTACCACTCCTCCTGACTCACCAAACCCCAGTACTCCCCCAAATCAGCTCTGAGATCATGTCCCTAATACAAACCTTCATTCTGTTTTCTGCTCTGAGCATTAGTTATCAATCATAATTCCTTCCTGCATTCAGGCATTGGTTTTACATTTTACCCTGTGCCCATTCATTATTTCATTCAACAAATAATTTGGATCACAACTTACAGATGCTTCCACATTTCAGATAATCCTTAAAGACCATACCATCTCTAACACTCTATAGTAATATGGACCTGGTAGACAGAAATTCTGTTCTATTTCTCACTCTGACAATTACTAGTTGTAGGACTGAGCAATGCATTGCTTCTCTGTAGGTCTCATCCTTTATACACATAACTTTGGCTCTTCCATAATGAAAGTTCAACTCTGTGAATTGACTGCATTCATGAAGCATTGCTGCCAAGGCTAAGAATTCCACTTCTATACATCAGATCCACAGGTTGACAAGCTATCTGCAATTCACATTAGAGGAAAACATTGCGCACTTTGCCTGTGATTTGCACTTGTGACATTTCCGGTGCTGTTCACTCACTCTCCATCCAAACAGCAGCGTTGCCTCATTCACATTAAATAAATCAGAGGTAAAAGAAGAAAACAAGGGAATTGTTCGGCAGATGGCTCAGATTCTTCATCTGTATCACTGCTGATCCAGGAGATGAACATTTTTGCACCACAAGATAAGTATCATATTATATGCAAATGGGACTTCAGAGAACATAAACCACAGTAGGTTCTAAGACATCAAGTGAATTGTTTTTCTTTTCTATTCTATCTGATGTATGGAGTTGACAGTAAACATTTGACATGCTTTACAAATAATAATCTGTTTAATCAGTGCAAGCACCAAAATCCAGATAGCTCATTCAGACATAACTTTCAGGTAAAAAGTCAAGGCTGTTGTCTGAGTTGCCAGAGAAGAGGAAAAATACCTGACTAGGAGAGCTAGAACTAGAAATTGGGTTTTAGTATGTAATGCAATTATTAATTCATACAAGAAGTTTTAACAAGTACCATGGCAACACTTGAACGGTTGATGCATCTGAGAAACGGAGCTAGCAAGCCTTTCCTACACACAAGGGTGCTAGGGAGGACAAAATGAATTGATTAATGGGAATATGCAAGAATTCTTGTTTTCCATAAAGTATCAAAGTGAATCCAGAGAAAATGGCCCAGTGCAGCTCATAAAAAAAACCCATGGGTAGCATACTGCTCCATCTCAGAATGTCTCAACTTTGGTACTGTTGACATTTTAGACCAGAAGATTCTTTGTTGAGTGTGGGGGTGAGAGGCTGCCCTGTGCATTGCAGGGTGTTTAGCATCCTCCCTGGGCTCAACTCCCTAGATGCTGGTAACAACCTCCCCAACACAGGCATTGCCAAATGTTGCTGGGAGACCTCTCTTTCAAGACGACTGCTGCTAGATCCTACTGATTCCATGTTTCACCCTTGGCTTTTTGGGTATTGAATCCCAAATTTGAGAAACATGCACAGGTGATCATTCTCAAGGGGACTGACTCACAGTGACTGAGCTTATATGGGGCAGAGGAATAAATCCAATGCCAATACAATAGTTTCAACTAAAAAATAATAAATGGTAGCTGCCTCCACTGGAGTGTCCTGGCAGGCTGATCAGTGCATCCTCTTCTGTCCAGTGATGTACACAAGAAACCAGGTTCTTAACATAAGATTGCTTGGTAAGAAGCCTGGGTTCAGAGCAAAGGGAGTGAGTTGCTTGATTCCAGGAGTTTTCTCCATGGATCCAGGGGACACTGGGCCATTTCTCAGATGCCTCAACCATGGAAGAGATGCCATGATACTCAGTTTTCCTCTGGAGACTTCATAGGTTACCTGGTTAGAGTAACAAGCCCCTGTAAGGTGCTGGAGCCACAATGACACATTATTCTTCTTTGGTGTTTTGCAATTTTTGAGTCTGTGAGCTCCCTGCTTCCTTTCCCTTACACATGTGTTTATGTGGAGAAGGCGGGGGGTTGGGTAAAACCTCACTGATGAAGAAACAGCTTTCTTGATTACAATTATATTCATAATGTGGGTTTTCTTTTCTTCTTTTTCTTTATTTTCTTTCTTTTTTTTTTTTTTTGAGGTGGAGTCTCGCTCTGTCACCCAGGCTGGAGTGCAGTGGCGCGATCTCGGCTCACTGCAAGCTACTCCTCCTGGGTTCACACCATTCTCCTGTCTCAGCCTCTGGAGTAGCTGGAACTACAGGTGCTCGCCACCACGCCAGGCTGAATTTTTGTATTTTTAGTAGAGATGGGGTTTCACTGTGTTGGCCAGGATGGTCTCGATCTCTGGACCTCATGATCTGCCTGCCTCGGCCTCCCAAAGTGCTGGGATTACAGGTGTGAGCCACCACGTCCAGCCCATAATGTGGGTTTTCTACAGTTCATTTATTTAAATTGTGAAAAACATTTGTTCCGTGTTGTGAGAATTTTTGCTATGCAAAAGCTGAACAATGAGCAGCTTTGTTTACCTATCCTGACGTATTTGTGTTTTTATTTCTGAAGATTCTGAAAAGGGAGCGGCTGGATCAAGGGAAGTGTGTGTTTTTAATTACAGGTGCCAATAACAACGATAAGAATGCTGATGGTCATGCTAATTGTGATGATGATAAATAAGAAACACACCACCATTGTTTACAATGAGTTCATAGAAAGCATCAGTTTGTTGTGCTCCAGTAAACAAAGCCTCTCACACTTGCATGAACAGGGATCAGGTGGGATTGCAGGAGCCCCTGGCACTTAGTAAAGCTCCCACTCTCTCTCCTCCACCAAAACACCCGAGTTCACCACCACTGTCTGCCCTGAGGTCATCAAGGTTAATTTCAAGTGTCCTTTACCGTACTTACTTTGGTCCCTCCAAGAGTCCTGGGACTCTCGGGTCATCCTTTATCTCCTGAATTCTAATCTCCATGTGGCTCCTTGGTCAGTGAGACAGGATCACCCTGACTGAAGCATTCCCCCTCACCTTATTTTCTTGCTTTATTTTTCTTCTTAGGAACTATCAACACCACATATTATATCTTGTGCTTATTTATCTGATGACCTTCCCCTATTGTAATATCAAGTATTTTCTCTAAGGTCCAAGAGGGCAAATAGTTTCTGTGTTGTTCTTCGCTTCATCCTAGCACCTAGAACAATGCCTAGCATACAAATGAAGTTTAATAAATAGAGTAGAACAAATGAGTGAATAAGCGCTAATAGATACATGAAGATGAGTAAGACAGAAGATAATTGCTTTTGAAATTTGGAGAACAGAGAGGTAAGAGGAATGTGCTTTGGGGAACATCACGGGAGGCTTCATGAAGAAGGTAGGAATGAGACAGAGTGGTGCCAGCCCCATCTCAGGACATTTAAACACTACTGACCTCTTCATCCAACTGCACACTCCCCACTCCACGGACCACACAGATAAGGTATTTAACCTCTCTATGCCTCAGATTTCCCATCTGTAAAATGGGGGTAATAATAGTGCCCACTGCATAAGGTCATTGTAAGACTATTAGTTAATATGTGTGCAGTACATACAGGAAATGCTATGTAAGGGTTACCACCATTGTTATCTCCAGTATAACAACTATCTTATTCTTCTGGATTTGCACCTAACATATGGTAGGTGTGACATAATATATTTTGAAGGTCTGTCTGGACTTCAGTAGTGAGAAGGTACACAGCAAAACACAAGCTGCACAGACAATAGTATGCATGACACATTGGAAACAATGAGAAAAAATTTAAACTGTTTAATCTTGAAGATTCATCCTCTTAACTCCTATAAAGAATTAAAGGTTCCACTTTTTGATCTTTCGGGAAAGAGAACTTAAGTATTTAAAAATAATAAACTTTAAAATCAGGAAACAAAAATATGACTTGCTTAATTGTACTTTTTTCTCTTAATTACAATCAAATGAAGGATTCAAATGTATGAAGTTTATGCTGCCATTCATTTCAAAAGGTCATATGGTTTCGGGAGACAGGGCACAGGAGAGGGCTTGGATAATATGAGGTCACTACCTAGACCACAGTTCATTGGCAGTGAGCTCGTGGCCAATCCGTGAATGCATAGTCTCTGAGCCCACCTTTCTTCATGCATTAATTTTGGAAATAACTTTTGTACTGCAAATTACTCCGGGTTCTTCAAAGAATGAGATGAGTTAATGGATGCAGCTCCACTGTGCAAAATAAAAAGATTATGCAAATTTGAGGAGTCATTATGAGAGGAAAATTGGAGTAAGGTCAAGGGAATTTTTCCTTCACTGTTTGTGGTCGAAAAAGTATGTGTCAGGGTTTTTAAATGATGCAGAAGTGATCCGTGGACATGAGAACTTTCCCCATTTCTGACATTTTCTATTTTCGTTTCTGCTTTTTCTGAACTTAAATAAGACACTGTGTTCTGCTGACAAGAAAAAAAAATACTAAACCCCTTCATTTCTCTGAATACACAGATAGATGGTTAGAACCTGAGAATGACCCAGCCCCTGGCAAGATCATTTCATACTGTTCAGAATCCACTCTGCCCCCTGCAGGGCAAAGTTAAAAAAAATAGCTCTTTCTGTTTTTCCCTCAAGGTGAGAAATCATAAAATGAAGATAGAGACAGAATAACACAACCAGAAAAACACAGGCAAGACCTCAAGCATTCTCGGGCTGCCAATTTGGCTGGAGAAATGAAACATGGGAAGGATGCTGAGTGTCTGGGCTGGCCAGAGAAGATGAGGAAGTGAATGTATGGCCATTGCCTGAGTGGGTGGGAAGAAAAGCCAGAGCTGGGCCACGGCCCCCTACTCTGCCTCACTGAAGCTGTGTTGCCATAGCCACATCCCTATAAATGAGCATAGGATTTTTGACCATGAGATTAATCAATGGTTTTGACTATGAGATTAATCAGGATAGGAGGAGCCTGGTAGGAAATAGGAACATATTTAGAGGGATGGTACAGTGAAAAGCACGATGGCCTTGAAGACAGGGGCCCTGGGTGTGCTATCTATGTTATGCATTCAGAAAACTTTTATTGAGTGTTTACAATGCGTCAGGCATGTGATAGTGCTGGGAATGTAAAAAATTGGCATGATTAGGTCCATGATGTGAAAAAAAAGTTAGTCTCTTAGAAAGAAATTCTGAAACAGACTACTGAAATACATCATGTGAGGTATGACAGTTTAGGTGGGTCAGAGGTAGTAGAGTAGAATGGAAGGGACATGATTTAGCCTGGGGGCTGTGGAGAATGTGGGGTATCAGAGAAGCCTTTCTGGAAGGTTGAATCTAGAAGAGCCAGTGCTGTTTATTAAGAGCAGACATGACATGGGGACCCCAACCTTCTCCCTAAATACATTCTTCACTACTCAGAGAATTATATCACTAGCTCAGAGAATTATATCACCATTCACCTAGCTTCTTGAGCTGTCACAAACCTGAATGTCAACCTGGATGCTTTTCTTCCCTTCATCTGACATATCAGGTCTTCTAGGAGAATCCACATATGGGCCACAATGTGGAGGTGGGAGTGGCCATGCTGCGCACAGGGGCTGACTCAGAGCCTAGAGGATGAAGCTGGATCAGGAATGTGGTAAAACGCTACTCAAAGGTGTGAATTTTCTCTTATGTGTACTCATTGGTGGCTTTTTCCCTTCAGCCAGCTTGGCTAGATATAAATAATTTTCAAAAAATACATAAGCTAAATTCAAGGCACTCAAGGGTCTCCCAAACACAAAAGCAAACAAACAACAAGACAATAACATCCATGAAGCAAGTGTGAAGGAAACTGAAGAAAACGAGAAGAGGACCCACATCCTTGTGCAAAGGATTTTAAATGTTTCAACGTAGACCTCTCAGCAGCCCTGGGAGACAGGTGGTACTGACATCTCCATGTCACGAATCCATGTGCCTGGGGATTATAGGTCCCTGACCGCCGAGTAAATATACAACCAGGAAGTCAGACCTATCTGCCGCCCATTGTATCTTGTAGACTATAATGTAGCATTGGCACTATTACCTATGGGGGAGGACAGTACATCCCATTCTTTGCCATTTATCAAAAGCATTTGGAAAACTTGAGTTTTGCCATATAAAAAACCCAGTGTCCTAAGGTGATGCTTTTTTTTTTTTTTTTTTTTTTTTTATTAAGGCACAGCAGGAGCAAAGCCACAGTGTTGAGAAACAGCATGTTTCACAGGGAGAATCACAGCACATGACTGCAGACAGGGAAGCAGAAGCAGTGGAAACTTACAAACATGAATCTACTTTTGCCCTCTGTTTAATGGCAAATGTATAATAAATTGTATGGGTTTAAACAATGAAGGATTAAGGATGCCCCTAGGGACAGCGTGATAGTAAGACCACCCCCATGCAGTAGTTGCCTTGTTACAAGGGATGAATGTATCTCAACAGTTATCATTCCAGCTGAATTTTGACCCTCCAACAGGTCCAGATGGAAAAGGATGCTTGGAGAAAGAGAAAATTTGTTTTTAATTTCTCTACTTCCTAGCTCTGGACTCAAACAAACTTTCTAATTTTCTTAAATCTTCATTTCCCTGAATGTGAGAAGTTTGAGAAAGCCCCTTTCCTAGAATTGCTCTCAGGATCAGACGAAATGATGTTAATTATGGGAACAAATGTTGCAGATTAGAGAGGCAATGAAATAGGACACTGGCTTCTAATCTCACCCCTGTCAAAGCTTTCCTGAATAATCTGTGTGCAATCATCTGATCTTTGTGAATCTCAGTCCCTTTTATGTAAGAGGAGAACAGTAGTATAAATCTTATAAAGTAGTTGTGAAAAGATGAGATTTCATATACGAACAGCTTGGCGTGGTGTTTTCTACCAGTAGAGGCTCTAAAATGGTAGTTGTTTTTGCAATCAGTTCAGAAGTACTTTGTACACTGAACAGAGCCTCACAAAGATTAACTCTTGTTATTGTTACTGTCAAGACACAGAAAGATTAATTGTCATAGCAATGTCATTTAGTTGGCCAATTAGAAAATATTAACTTCTCAACTCATAAGTCAAAAGATGTTGGGGCACCAACTGTGCAACTCACCTTTTCCGGTTGAATATGTAAGGTAATTAAAGGAAAAGACATTGGGTCAACCTAGAATGGCACTTCCTCATCCCACTTGACTCCAGAGAACACAATTATGTCATACGAATTACAATTAATAACTGAAATATAGTTCTGTAGCTTAGGTGGCTCTTTCAAATCTATTTTCTTGCTTGATCCTCATAAGAACAATGTAAAGTGAAGAATGTGACAATGTCTGTCATCACAGAACTAAAGATCATTCATATCCAAGTCCAGAGAATTATGTTTAAAGTTCATAGAAGCAGACCTTAGATTATCTGACTTGAAGTCATATATACCCTTTATGAACACATCATCCTACCTCCCCAGGTATGCCAGCTACAAGAAGACACAGTAAATCCAAAGTGGAAATGGGAGCGGGATTTCCCGGCTGACCACAGTTCATCCATTAGAATGAGGTGTCTAGGAGAGGCTGCAGAGTGATCGACAGGCGTGTTGTTAAAGGAATCTCAGCATCGGGCTCTGAAGGAAAGAATTCTACATTCATTCATTCAGGACATCTTTGTTGAATGTATTCTATATGCCAGACACTGGGATAAAGACATGAGTAAGATAAAACTGCCTGCCTTCGTGGAGTACTATTCTTCTAGAGGAGGCAGAGGCATTAGATAATAATCAGGCAACATAGAAAATGGGATGGCTCAGGTCTGAAAGAGCTTTCCAACAGTAGTGAAGACAGTGAGTTGACCCTGTCCGAGTCTAAAAGGATGATTAAGATTTGATCAGTTGAACATGACCCAAAGACATTCCAGAAGGAGGGCACAGCATGAGTTAAGCCATGGTAGTGAGAAACAGCCAACGCACAGGAGAATCACAGCGGACTCCCGATGTTGGAAAGCACAGGACGTGGCAGAAAGATTCAAGCAAGAAGGTCGGGGACATAGGCAGAAATCTTGAATGCTGCATTACATTACATTTCAGATTTTTGCTTAGAGTTTCCCTTGAATGTTGATATCCCTTGCCCTCAAAAATGTGCATTCTTACTGGAGAAACGAGGAGGGCAAGGAGAAAGGACATAAGATGCTCCTTCCAATCTACTATAGTTATTTAACTGCCTGGTGCACACACAGAAACAGAGAACTTAAAATTATTAGAGACAATAATTTCAGCCTAGCTTTGTTATACAAGTTTCTGACCATCCCCACTGAGTCTACACTCTTAGAATGAAAAAATTAACACCTGTAACACAGTCCCTATTTTCTCTCTAGATCACACACTTTTGTTATACACGGTTAGCTATTAAGTATCTCTTTTACTGTAATCAGCTTAGAAATTATAAAATATGTTGAGTGAAGTAAAGACAGTTGCTCTCCATTTTTAGTTTCAGTTTCCTTATATTAAATGATTATTGCAAAACTAGAAAGTGTGGCCAGGAAATAAGCAGATAAACAGATGCACGGGTGGAGGGGACAGTCAAACTGGTGGCAATTGCAAAGTTTTGATTAGAAGGATTTGGGAAAAGCGCAATTCCAGACATCTGTGATTGCACCATGAAGATTTGAGAAAGGAATGACCCTTATTTACATATTGCTCTTCTTTTCTAGCTGCAAACTTTGCTTCACAGTCTATTCTAACTTGAGAAAAAGGTGTTTTGATTTTCCTCTTCCTTCCAGTCCTTCGTTTCTCAGAATCGACCCTCCACATTCATAACTATTGTGTTCATTTGTTGCCTCAACATTTGAAAAATATCAGGGATATCAGGGAATATCTATTTCTTGTTTTACACATGAGGTTGTTTATGGCAACCAGCCTTGCTATTTCTTGGAACTTGGTTAGGATTCACTCTATTGAAACTTAACCAGCAGAAGTACTGTGAAGTACTGTGCATACAAAGAAGTCAGGGTTCAGGGCCTTTTGGAAACATGGACTCGTTATTACACCATTTCATTTCACCATAGTGATGATGTTCAACCAGACTCAGGGTTCTTTGGGGTGGGGAGCCTTTTGTCTTTGTCTTATTAATCCCCTTATTTTTTTCCATCTAGCTCAGATTTGGACTGCTATGCACTTAACAAATATCAATCGAGTGAAATATTTACATATTATTTACCAGATATTCAGAGTAATCCATCTGATGGATGAGAAGCCTAAATAAGCAGAGATTACATGATTATCTAAGTACTAGGTCTGAAGCATTAGAACTGGGAGTGAGCAAGGGAATCTGAGCCTGGGTGAATCATGTTTGGTTTACTGCGGACAAGTGGGGAGTTTGCCTAAAGTTTCAGGATAAAGGAAGATCCGGAAATGAAGGCTAAAGTTGTGCAGTCAGTGGAATGGAAAGGAGAATAGAAAGCAAGTGTGGAAGAGGAAGGAGAGGTTTCCACTGTCATGCAGGGCACAAAGCTAACTAAACACCTGCTATGACGCCGGCTCTGATGGAGCTTACAGTGTAGGGAGAGCCGGGGCAAATGCAAGGATAGGACTAGAGTACCCAGGTGTTGTTTCTTGGGATTTCTCATTTCTTGGATGGATTTATCAGACTAAAATAAGTAGAAATTATGTGTAAAACAACTCACATTTTCTGCTCAGTAGGTTGCATTTCTTCCTTTTCCCAAAATGAGGCCTATAATATTTAAAGAAAACTAGCTGGTCAAGTGGAAGAAAGAAAATGATCTGGTTGTAAATTTGATTCTCATTTATTATGAATCAAAATCACCATGACCATTTTATAGCCGAATCATTTCTCCATGTGGAGAAACATTCCAAGACAACCTGAGGAATCATGATTTGCATTTTGAATGTATGTTACATGGCCTGACCCCCTCTGATGCTGATTAGCCCTTGCTCTTATCACAGCATTTGTGTTTTGCTCATATCTATGTCTAGAGTCACAACCAGCCTCCTTAGGGCAAGAGAGTTCGGACATAAAAAGCACCACATGTAGAATCCAAGGAACATTGAATAAATTATTGTTAAACATCATGAATGCGTTTGCAGGTAAAGGGTTTCAATAACATCAGCAACATAGAGATTTTTTTTCCCCATGAAGAATCTAAAAAATTAAGAATATCTTAAAAAACAGAGCTTGTCAAAAACATATTGCATCTGAAAAGCATTACTTAAAATAGTATTAATGTACTGGGAACTCTATAACCTAAAGTTGTGTGACTGATGCTGTGAGAATAAAACCATGTATTGTGGATTTAAGAAGTAAACTCATTTCCCCAGGAGTCATTGAAAGTGAGCATATTTAGGGATTAGCTGTTTACCTCAGTATCTTGTCATCACCCATGGTTCGTCTCAAGGTGACAACTTTCTCTTTGATGGTGGAAGCATACTCTTCAGGCAGAAACTCATGCCTTACAAACCTTCGGTAAGGCAGAAGCCATGGCCCGAGCAAAGGGAAGAGGGTTTGCCTCTCGCCTATTGAGTTCCCACTACTTATTCTCACGTCCTCTTTGTTTCCATGGGCCCATGATAAAAGTGCATGTGTATAATTTCTGCAGGAGAAAATAAATATTCTAATCACCTATTGAAGATGCATTATTTTGTGTAACCAGGGTGCTTAGGAGCCATTGAAAGTTCTGAAAGGACGGGAGAATGAGAATCTGTTCTTAAGAGACGACCACTCTGAGTAACTCGGCTGAATGCATCCTATCCATTTATCAATAACTCTAGTTCGCTTCCTTGGAATGGAGAAGTGTCAGCAGTGTTGATTAACCAGGATCACAGACCCATTTTAATAACATGACAAAAAGTGCAGACCTTTTACTCACCAGAAAAATGTACCCACAACCAAATTTTGAACATAATGTATTAAGGTTTATGCATCCTGTGAAGTCCATCTATGACCAAAGACTGGTGTTAAAATCTGTAAAGTATAATATACAATAACGGAAGAGTAAGAAAAAAATAGTTTTGGAAAATTAGATCCTGTGTGAGTCACAAGATATGTATAAGTGACAAAATGTGTGGGGAAGTGAAGAGATGCTTGAGAAACAGTTTGGAATTTGAAACCGAACTCCGCTGCCTATTCAATGTATTGGCTTAACTAAGACATCTTAACACTCTGAGCCACATTTGGTGCAGAAAGAATGATAATGTCATTTGCAGCATAAAGGGAATGCCTATAGAAAGCCCAGCACAAGGTCTGCCAGATAGGACTTAGTGCATTTGTTTAATGGAAATTAAATCAGCAATTATTTTCTGAATATATTTTATGTGCCTAGCTATATGATAGTCATAAAAAGAGGCTTGCACCAAATACCAGATGTGGTAAGCATTGAATGTGTCATTGAACTGATCTCAGCCAAACATATACATCATTGTTCTTGCTTTAAAAATGCTTGAGAAGATAGAATAAAAGCATGGCAGTGCTTAAAGAGACAATAGTACTTTCCTCCATTTATACTGGAGTTTCAGAGCTGGAGCTGGGATGACAACAGGGGTATCCAGGCCCTCTGTATTCTTTCCATTCCAGTATTTTATGAAGAAGCTAAAAATTCAATGTGTTTCCATTGGATGAGATAAAAATAAAAGCCTCAGGGAACACAACTGCGATCCTGGACCAGGAGAGATTCTGCAACATACTGCTGTAAGAGAAGCCTGGAGACAAGAGCTGCCATTTCCAACCAAGCCATAAACCTCTCCTCAGAGGTAAAGAGAAAATAGCAATGGGACTTATGAGTAGTCCGCTGTGGAGTCCAGATGCTTGCTTGTTTTTAAATCGATGTTCCCAGCTTTGTCATGAAACATTACCTGTGTTAACCTTTGCAACTTTTCAAAAAAGTTGTATGTTATTATTGGTTAAAGAAACAATGATAACTCTTTTACCTACTCACAAGGCCATAGTGGGGAGTAAATGAGACTCCCAGATAAAATATGTTTTATGGAGTGACTGGCATATAATAGGGTCTCAAAAATACATTAGTGTCATCCCTCTCCCAGGTGCTCCTGTCTCCAGCTCCTGGTGTGGCATCCTCCAATCCACATCCCTGGATGGAACACATGCTAGATACTCTCAGTCCCTCATAACTGGAAAACGAACCATTGTCAATCAAGTGGGTGCTCCCCTGTCCTGCAGGAATCTTCATCAACATGCAAACCCACTATCTCCAGAAACACTTTAGCAGTATGAATTATTGCAAAGTGCCACAGCTGGTTACCTGATAACATTGGGTCTGGGAACAGGGCAGATTATTCATGGGAAAGAAACAGATGTGAAAAGAGAGGGAGTTCACATCTTCCTCAGGAACTGGAGGCATAGAAGTCTCCTTATGTACTCTAAGGAAATGAATAGAGTCTACCCAGCTTTGAGCTAAAGATGTTCCTTTTGTGAGAATAAATGTGAAATTAGACTATGTTGTCTACAATTTAAGATACATAAACATTAATCCATAAGATGCATAACAAACTTCAGGTCTTTGACGGTCTTTATAGTAATTTTTAATATGCACTAACAAGTCTCATTGCTTTAAATGATATAATTTTGTCATTTGTTAAATTAAAAACCTGGAGTAACCCTGATTAATGAGATACAATTTGTGCAGTTCTGATAACATTTTTAAAATGTAGTATTCATGGTATATAATTTTCAAGCTGCTTTCATTGAATTCTTTGAATTGTTTGGCCAAACCACTAGAGGGGAAAAAAATGGGTATATTATCAACCCTAGCATCAAAGAGAGAATGTGCTAGGGTAGAAAAATCATGGGAATAGGAGGTAGAGCAGCTATATTTTCTTCAAGTTCAGATTTTGCCTTTATTAATTCCTTGAAGAACCCTGTCTTATTGTTCTTTGCACATCTAGCATTTGGTTAATATTTTATGATTCTGTGAGTTACTGAAAGAATAAATCAATGACTTACTTTTCTATTTCTGAGTGTCATTAGTCTGTTAAAAGGTGTCATGCTTTACCTACCTCACAGAGTGGATTCAAGAGATAAACGATAGTTTGTGCAGGGAAAGGGGAGAGTCGTAAGAAAGAGAAAGGAAAATCAGCATTTATTGAGTGTCTATCTTGTGTCTGACCCTGAGCTGGGCATTGAAATATGCTACATAATGCAATATTCACAATAAAATTATTAAGATGCTAGTTCCATTGTCATTTTATAGAAAAGGGAAATTAACATATTTGCTTCCAGAGAAGGTAAATTATTTGCCCAAAGTCACAGAATGAATAAAACCACAATTTGCATCTAAGTCTCTTTCCACCACCCAAATTTAAAAGAGGTCAGATTCGTGTTGTTGAGATATGTTAATAATGAATTAATTTATTTACATAAGGGAAAGAAAGGCTGTGTAGACACTTGGAAGCTCTGCCCTGCTCTCTTATTCTGTGAGCAGCATTCCCCTTTGCGGCCAAGAAAAGCTGCTGCTTATTTCAATCAGGTAGTCTAGTTAGGGCTGCCTGTGATGGTCTTTCAGGAGTCTCTCCACCCATGGCTCAAGCGATGGTCCAGGAAGCCAGCAGAGAAATAAGGAGATGGGGGTGCAGAAGAGGATGCACATATAATCAAAGCAGGCCACCCCGAATCTTTCCCAGAACTGTTTTTGAATGGAGCTGAGGCAGTACATTCAGTCTTTCCCTGGAGGTAGAATTGTGAGCTGGGATTTGCAGAGGAGGCCAAATGCCATCTTTCTAGCTCCATGGAAGAAGCCCCACATGAGAGGCCACTGGACAGCAGGAGATGAGAGAGGCCAACAGAGGCGGTGGTGGCACTTGTGCTCTGGTTCCAGCTGTCTGGCCCCCTAATGAATCCCTGTTTCTCTGAGTGGTTTGGTGAGGCTTCCTTTAAATTCCTGTTTCAAACAAATGAGTGGAGTTGAGCTTCTGGCATTTAACATGGCCTGTTTTATTTACAAGTGTCCTAAGTCCATTTAGGATAGATGAAGGCAAAGTTGAAACAAAAACCCAATGCCACAGCGGGGCAGGCACTTGGCTACAAAGAGTAATGCAGACAAAGGCGGAGGTGCCATAGCCACTAGGACACAGAGACAGTCATTGACCAAACTCTATCTCTGCCACTTAGACTTGTTTACCATTCAGATTAGGAAGACAACATTACTGTTGGTGGAAGGAAATGTGTAGGATAGGCTCCAGGCTCCAGGGCCCTTGGGCTCCAAGATCTTTGGCAAAGTCTGTTTATTCCCCCAATCCCCTACCAATCCATTGCCTTTTTGATAATCATTCATGCTTTCTAATTTATTGACTACTACCAATATGGCATTCTGATAGGCTCCAAAAGATTGGGAAGACAGAAGGTGTTTCCCTTGAAGAATTTTCAATCTGGTAGAAATGATGTTTAAGCACAATGAACTACAGTAGCATGTAACCAAATTAAGAAGCCTATACCTCTTCACTCAGAGATTTTGGTCTAGAAATCCATTCTACGGAAACCCTTGAAAGTCTCCCCAGAGCTGAGCATTCAGTATATGCCTCTTTACCAGTGCAACAAAAACTCTTATGTGGTCATCAATTAATTAAAATAAATTAAAGAGATAAATCTTAGGTTTTTATTTTATCTTAAATTAGGAGCATGTAAGTGCATATAATTTGTAATTGTTTTTTTACAAAGCATCAAGGCCATGTCTTTGAGAAAGGGTCTATCACTTGGCATTCAGAGTTGTCTTCCTACATAAACTGACTGTATAATGAACCCTCTGTAATTGCCATATCCACTTTCATTAAACGGAAGTAATTCTTGGCAGTTTTATAATCTTCTATCACAAATGAAGGCACTATATCTCTCAAGCCATAAGCAATATTTATATGAGCACACCAGGAGGGTAGGAAAGCCACTCTGACCACTGGCTCTAAATTTCATTATTTATCAAATTCTACATAACCTTGGCTGTAGGGTTTGAGATGGCAATAAACTTCTCAGTCTTTAATCAGCAGAGAATTATTGAACATCAATTTTAAGCTAAGCAGTATGTTGAGCTCTGTGAGGAGGTGAGCAAAACAGATCTCACCCTTACCTTCAAGGAAATGGCATTGCTGTGGGAGAGAATCATTATGAAAACTGTGAGAAAGAAATGTAATGGAAAAGTTAGAGGTGCTATGAGAAAAAACATGTCAGTGACAACTGCTTCTTTAGAACATAACTGCATTGAGGCCAGCATGTCCACTCTGCAACCTCACACTTGGCCTTCCAGTCCATACATAAACTCTTGCTGAGTGAATTGTATCCAAGAAGAAGACTCCCGAACTCAAGCAAAGAGGAATCTTTAAAATTGTTAAAACTGATTTGCTGGACAAAACAAAACAAAATAAAGCTTTTGAGACATTTATAGGCTAATGACATTTCTTAAGTTTCAATTATTAGTAAGTAGCAGATCTAAGATTTGAACCCAGGTAGATCTGAACCCAAGGCCAGGATCTACCCAGATGCTGTCCAGGATGCCTCCCTACTCTCTATCAACTGCCAGGGACTCTTGGATAAGTTATGCCCTTTCTTTGCAAGGATGGTTTGTATATGACAGCTGGATCATAGGAAAGGCTGCATCATTGTCAGACGCCATGTGTTCATTTTCACTGTGCTGCTCAGCTTTACTGGCTCCAATTCCATCACAGGCCTGTTGGAAATATCTACACCAAAGATGTCCATCTGCTACAAAAGCCCTCCCATTGTTTCGTAGCTATGGTAAATAACACTTACAGTGTCTCCATTTGACTGTATTTGAATAAGCAGGCAGCATTATGGTGTGAAAAAAAAGAATGAGACATGAAATCTCACCAAACTCTTCATCAGACATCAGATGTGTCATTTCACCTCATTGAACTTCAATGTTGAAAGAGTGGTCATCCATCATTACTTCATTCACTCAGTCATTCAACAAGTGTTCATTGGTACCTATGTGTGTCAGGCCATTTTCTGAGATTGTATACACTTATTTATCTTTTCAATACTCCCGAGAGAATAACATAATAGGCATTCTGCAAAAGTTTGCTGCATAAATAGACAAATAAAATAAATTAAAAATGAATATTCTTGAAAAAGTTAATGATTTTGCATGAGTGAGATATTTTATAAAATGTTCAATTATTTTTTATTATAAAAAGTAACATTACCAAAAAAGTGAAAAATAAAAAATCCACTGTACTACGATCTTAATATAACCACAATCTTTAGCAATGTGTAATATTTATTTTGTTTGCTTTTTCATTCATATATAACCAATATACCAATATAACATGTACTTTGCATTTGTTAAATGCAAACAAAGGAAAGAAATGTGGTGAGCATGTGCTATGGCACAGTGAAGAGGGCCAGAGATAGAAAAATAAGTAAGTTTCTACCATCAGTGAGCTAAAATTCCAATACTAGAGAAAGGTCAAAAGTACAATTCAATGCGATGAGTATCTTCTTAATGGAAGTACATATATAATGTTCTTCTTGAACATGGTGCATCATTTTCTTAAGGCATTTGAAAAAAAACCTTTGAGCTGGGACTTGCAGAATGACTTGCAAATAAGCAGGGACAGGACTTAGAGGTCAAAAGAATAGAATGGAGAAGCATGAAGATGCCAAAGTGCCCAGTGTTTCACAGATAATGAGCCCAGCACAGGGGGGAGAAGAGGAGGAGATGTGTCTGACTGGGGATAATGACAACAGCTGAAAGACCCAGAGTGTCAGCCACCATTCCAAACATGGGCAGTGATTAGCTGATTTTATTTTACTACTCTCATTCTCAGTTTCTGTGCACAAAGAAACTGAGGGACAAAAAAAATTCGGAAACTTGACTAAGGTGCAAAGGTAGGAAGTGTGGAGGGCAGGATCTGGAGTGACAACATGTCTGAGAAACTCAACCTCCAATCAGAAAGTGTTTTGGAGTAAAGTAACCATCATAAAACGTACACTGCATCTATCTTTCCCCTGTGGATTGTGCAGGATTTGAGAGAGCGCTCACACGTAGTAAAATATTTGCATGCCCCCTGGAAAACCCCTAACTCAATTTTCTTTCTGGCAAGCATATTCTCTTTCAGCTGGGCTTTACTCAAAGTCTCATAAGGAGCCGCCGGAACTGGCAGCAGGTAGGCGTTTTAGGCACTGACACCTCATTAACAGGACCCATGTCTCTTCTTGGCATCTTTGTCCTTTCTTCTCTCCCAATATCACCTTTGCTGGCACACCCTGGCTATAATGAGCCACCTCCATCTGAAGAATCTAGCAGCTTTGCATACAGGGCAGGCAGGGCAGGGTAGCTCAGTGCCAGCTCTGCACTGGCTAACAACACTCTAGTTTGAAATAAACACAGGAAGCTGCGACACAAAAATGTATTGACTAATGTCATCTCCCACCCCTGCAGTAATCTTACATCTGTTTTCTTGGGAATCGAAGATTTTTTTTTTTTTTTGTGAATGCTGGATAACTATGTCATTCTAGAGAATTTACCAGGTATATATATATATATATATATATATATATATATATATATATATATATAATCACTTTATTTGTCATCATTTTCTACCAGTTCACTGTCCTATCCTTTTATTCTTAACATCTTGCTTAATTTGAAGTATGGCACTAAAAAATTAGTGGGAACAACTACTCACTCTATTATGACATGGAAGGTATAGGATGAAATGGTGACCAGGGTATTGAGAAAAAGATCTATGTAGAATAATCGGTTCAGCCATCTTATTCTTTGGAAGAAAACAAAAATGAGTCTCCTCCTGTCCATTCCTGGGCTGTCCAGGAATGTCCCTGGGCTGTCCCTGCTCTAAAACACTCAGGAGGCTTGCCTTGCATTTCACTTTCCGGAAGTCTCTTTAATTACCTTCTCTTCTACCAGGCTATCAGTGCTTCTACATTATAAACAGTCTTGTTTTCCTATACCCAGTCAGCAGCCAACAGAACTAGGCACATAATAAAATTAAAAGCTACATTTATGCAGTACCACATGCCATCAATGACTCTAGGGGCTTTAAGTGGATTCTCTAATTTATCCTTCATATTTCCCTCCACAGTGGATGATATGATATCCCCACTGCACAGATGGGGAGCAAGTATAGCTCAGAAGCATCAAAGCCAGTGTTGCAAACCAGGGTGTCTGGCTCAGGAGCCCATTCTCTTAATCACTAGTTTCTACTGAGCTCAAGAAACATATACTTGGGGACTTAAAGGCAGGGGAAGAAGGTTAGCCTAAAAATAAAATATTTTTCAGGCACATTCTAGCTAGAGGGAGCTACATCTAAAGGATGGCTGTGTGAAGAATTGAAAAGTCTTGTTCTAGTAAACTCAAAAAAAAGTTAAAATAAAACAAAGGCAACTGGTTCTTGAGATGCAGATTTTGGCTCAAAATAAGGGAGAACTTTCTAAAAGTCAGAACTATCAAAGCAAGGGATCAACTGAAGAGTGTCAGATTCTATGGTGCTGGGGATTTCACACATTGTAGAAGAAAGTTTGTCAGAGATCCTGTGGAAAACTTTTGCATACTGGCCAGAGATTGGAGGACCTCTAAGGTTTCGTGCAACTCATTTCAACATGCATGGAATGCACGTGCCTAGCAATAATTAGTTGATTCCTAGTAAACATTTGTTAAATAAATGGAGGAACTATGTTTGCCCTGACAAGAGAGGAGGATGCAGAATGCACCCCATGGAATTATAAATTCTGGAGTCAATCCATATTAGGTGTCCAGTACTTCCCAAACTCTGCTACTTGGTAGTTCCTATAAAATCATTTATCGATATTCTTCTCAAGGCTCAGTGAACAGAAATGTCTCCTAACAGCAGCCATTGCTAACATGAATTAAGTGCTCCCTAGTGGTAGGTCCTGGATATTTGCATATATCATCTCATTTTACTGTTGAATGACAGAATGAGGTTGATATCATTTATTGGCCCCATTTTACAGACAAAGAAACTGAGGTTAAGTAACCCACCCAAAGCCACAGAGCTAGTAAATGAAGTCAGAATCTGCATTCGAGCCCCAGAGCCTGTACTCCTATCCACTGCATTAGAGTAATCACCATCATGATTCTTAGGCAACTACTCTGTATAGGAAGTGCATGAGGTGCTTTATGCACCGCAACATCTAATCACCACACCAAATACATAAGACGAATACCACACCTCTGATTTTAAAGTCAGAGAGTTCAAATGATTAACCAAAGTTACACAGCAATTAAAGGGCATGGTCAGGACACAGCTTAGTTTTGCCTACGCTATGATCCTAGTGGAACTGAATATTTTGGAATGCAGTGCTGGAGATTGGGAGCATTTTTCCCACTCTACATTTTGTCAATGCTTTAGCTTATTTGGTCCTGCCTACCCTTTAAAACCCAGTAAATATGTCACTACAATTGAGCACTTTCCCCTTTTTTCTCCTGCCCTAGAAATACACAATTAACTTCTCCTGGTTTGTTGGAATATCTACAGTACTGACAAATAGACATTTTTTTATGGTGGTCGTTTGCTTCTAGAAGATATATATATATTTTACTGTATGGATGTCTAAGTCCATTTGGGCTCCTATAACAAAGTGTCATAGGCTGAGTGACTCGTAAACAACAGAAATGTATTTCTCATAGTTCTGGAGACTGGAAGTCCAAAATAAAGTTGCCAGCAGATTCAGTGTCTGCTGAAGGTCCAGGTTCATAGACAGTCATTTTCTCACTATAGCCTCACATAGCAGAAAGAGCAAGGGAACTCTCCAGGGTCTCTTTAGTAAGGACACTAATCCCCTTCATGAGGGCTCTGCCTTCATGATCTAAAAGCCCCACCTCCTAATGCCAATATAGTGGAGGTTAGGATTTAGCATATACATTTTTGGAGAAGACATAAACATTTGATTTATAGCAAATAAGATCACATTCCACTTACTGACTTATAATTTTTCTTTTATCACTTAACAATATAAGATCAACATTTTCTGACACCATTATTTATTTATTTTTATTTTTATTTATTATTATTATTTTTTGAGAAGAGTCTCACTCTGTCACCCAGGCTGCTGCACCAGGAGTGCAGCAGCGTGATCTCGGCTCACTGCAACCTCCACCTCCTGGGTTCAAGTGATTCTCCTGCCTCAGCTTCCCAAGTAGGTGGGATTACAATCATGCACCACCATGTCCGGCTAATTTTTTTTTTTTTTTTTAGTAGGGACAGGACTTCACCATGCTGGTCAGGCTGGTCTGAACTCCTGACCTCAAGCAATCCACCTACCTTGACCTCCCAAAGTGCTGGGATTACAGGCATGAGCCATCGCGCCTGGCCACCATTATTTTTCTATTACATCATTTGTAATAGCAACATAATACACCATCTGAATTTGTACTATAATTTAGTAATAAATGCCTATTATTGGGTATGTATTTTTCTCTTTTTAATATAAAAATTGCTGGAATAAAGTCCTTTCTGAACAAATAGTTACACACATCTCTCTGTGTGTGTGTATGTACACATATGGTATAGACTCTTAGGAGAGGAATTGCTAGGGTCAAAGTAAATGAACGTTTGAATCTCATGATTTGTGTTACCAATCGCCCTCTGAATTCTGCCCATTTCCAATCCCAACAGCAGGGTATGAGAAAAATCATAGTCCAGACTCTGAGCAACAGAGTTTTAAAACTAGTAACCCTTTTTTTTTTTTTCTTTTTTTTGGTCAAATTGATAGATGACTTCTTTCTTTCTTCTGCCCTAGTATGTATTTACACTTCTTTAAGACATTCCTTCCAATGCTTTAGAGCTATTAGATTCTTGTGCCTCCACTGCTAGCGTACAAGTTCCTTAAGGGCAGGAATCACATAACTCACTCATTCTGTAATCCAACACCCAGCACGCAACCTGCTTCGTAGTAGATGGGCAGCAATGTCTACAAATAAAACCAAACTTTGCCAGTAGTTACTGGGAGTAATCAGCAAACAATCTCTGGAGAATTTAACCCTTTTTGTTAAGGTGGGATATGTGTGTCTGCAATGATGTGATGCTAGGGCTAACTTAGTCTCACTGCTCCAAGGTCCAGATTTTCAGCCAAACTTTCCCTGGAGAACAGTGCTCTAACTGAGCCGTCACCTTATGTCTGCTCATTGAACACCTGCAGCCTGCCTCTTCATATCATGTAAACATATCACCTCTTTTCTGAGAGAGGGACCCAGAAATTTACAAAATGTACAGACAAGTTGCCTTCAGTGTTTCAACTTCAAAAACTTTTATTCTTTAACACTACAACTTCAGAAAAGAAGCTTAACTTCTTTTGAGACATTTTTGTCACCAGAGTGAAGATAATAATAGTACTACTATACTAGGGGTGACTTATACCTCCCCATATGGAATGAAGCCACTCTCCAGGTGCAGGTTTAGGGGCTAATGTATATTTCCAGTATCACTGAGACCTCTTTAACAATCACTGCTAAGATATCGCGCATCCCTACTAGGCAATTTACCCTAAGGGTATTTAGATGTACTTCATTTCACTCACCTCAATTACTCAAATTTGTCTCAAAATATTCTACAGCATGGACATTTTGCTACATGTTTCCACCCTTTGCCAGAATTATTAATTCATCAATTCACTCATTTGTTTTAAAAATAGCTAACATTTATGGAATATTTACCATCTGCCATGCATTGTGCTAAATGCCTTACATATGGTATATTATTTAATCCCCACAAGAGTGCTATTAGGTAGCTACTATTATTATCTTCACTCTGATGAAAAAATTGTCACCAGAAGTTAAAGATCTTTCCTGAGGTTGTAGTGTTAAAGGATAAAAGAACTAGCTCCAATCAGGGACATTGGATTCCAGTGCCCATGCTCTTAAACATTATACTAGCCAACAAATATGTAATGAAATGTACAACGTGCAAACCTCTCTGCTAAATGCCATCATTGTTTACACAGTTATTCCTACTTGATCTCTCTTGTGTGAGATATTATATTTCAGTGACCTTATGTGAGGACTGACTGCTTTCTGCTCACAGTTGCAATATTCATGTGACATTTATTTCAGAATGTGTTTTGCATCTCGTTTGAAAAAAATTAAATTTTTCCATGTGTTAGATATTGGTCTCATGCACTAAACACCCTGCTTTAGGTACTCATTATTGTTCATCTAATTATTGGAAGCCTCATAATCAGTCCCCAGTTTCTATCGTCTTTTTTTTTTTTTTGAGACAGTTTTGCTCTTGTTGCCCAGGCTGAAGTGCAGTGACGTGATCTCGGCTCACTGCAACCTCCGCCTCTCGGGTTCAAGCGATTCTCCTGCCTTAGCCTCCTGAGTAGCTGGAATTACAGGCATGCACCACCACACCTGGCTAATTTTGTATTTTTTAGTAGAGACAGGGTTTCTCCATGTTGGTCAGACTGGTCTCGAACTCCCAACCTCAGGTGATCCACCCACCTCGGCCTCCCAAAGTGCTGGGATTACAGGCGTGAGCCACTGAGCCCGGCCTCTGTCTTCTTAATTCTATTCCTCAGACTATTACCTAAGGTCTTTTTCTAAAATGTAAACCCAACCATATCACTTTCCATCCTAAAATCTTCCCATGACTCCTAAAATCCTCCGGTGTCTTTTCCTTTCCTTCAGGACAAGTTTCCCTTAGAAAAATACATTTGGGACAGGGGCAACACTGTCATGCAGAATGATCTTCAGCTTAAAAGTCACTTCATTTCATACACTCTGTCCTTGCTCTCTTCTCCTGTACGGCACCAGATCCTGTTTTTGGCTTCATTAACTCCTACTCATATTTTAAAGCTTAATAAACAGCTCTCCTAAACTCGAAGACATCCACCTACTTCCTTGGGTTGAGTAAATCACCTCCACTTTGTGCCCCCTCTTCTCTAGTTCTCTAATGCTGCTCTTTCTAGTACAGCTTTTATCATAATATACGTAATGCTCAATCAATGACACAACTTTTTTGACTTGTCTCTCATAAAGTCTGTGAGCTCTTGGGAGAAGGGGAGGGAAAATAATCTCATGTCTCTGTAACCACTTGGACCCACAGTAATGACTGACATTCCATAGGCACCCAGTAAACCATCCCATCCATGTTCCTTTGCCATTTAATGCAGGCGGACAGGGATGCTTCATCACTTATGGACCTCTTCCATGGCTGTGACAGCCAATCCACATTTCGCCATGGATATTTTTCCTTCTTTGTTTTTTTCTTATTTCTGTATCTGTAACTTTCTCTTGTGTTCTTTTACTCTGTTCTTTTTTACTCCATATACTTTTTCTCTTATATTAACTATTCTTCCATCATTTTCTCCATCTTTCCTCTCACCCTTTCTAAATGCATGCCTGAATATCTCAAATATTATTTGGCCCCTATAGTGTGCCAAACTCTTTACCAAATGCTGGAGATGGCTGTAGGTGCATAAGAAGTGTTGTCTGTCTCCTCAGATATTTTCATGCAATGAAGGGGAAAGTCAAGTGAGTAGGCATTTGTGATGCCATTTTATAGTAAAAATGATGGTAAGAAGGCTGCCCTCAAGGGCAGAGGTGGGCTCCTGATACAGGCCAGAAAGCAGGAGTCAGAAAAGGCTTCTTTGAGGGGATTTACTTTGCTGAGCCATGAACAAAAGGTAGCAGTTACAATGCAACTAGAAGAGGCATCCCAGGCAAAGGAGAGAGCATGAGGGAATGTGGAGAAATGAGTAATAGCCAAATTGGGTGCAAACATTGCCAAGAAATAAAGCTGGGAAGGGGAACAGAGCCATATCATGAAGGACCTGTATAGAGACAGTGAAAATGTTTCCATGTAATGATACATCATTCATACTAGCATTCCTGAAGTGTCATGTACCTTATAAGTGATTTGTGTCACTTACCTAATTTAATCTTCCCCTCAACACTTTGTGATAAGAACTATTATTTACTCCAGTTCAAGAATGGAGGAGGGCTATTAAGACAACAAGGTACCACTACACTCCTGTTAGATTTGCCCAAGTCCCCAAAACAGTAACAATACCCAATCTTGGAAAGGATGTGGAGCAACAGAACTCTCATATGAAAAATGATACAGTTGCTTTGAAAGACAGTTTGACAGTTTCTTACAAAACTAAACATACTCTTACCATATAATCCAATAATTGTACTTGTATTAGTTCATTCTCACACTGCAAATAAAGACATACCCAAGACTGGGCAATTTGCAAAGGAAAGAGGTTTAATTGGCTCACAGCTCCACAGGGCTGGGGAGGCTTCAGGAAACTTACATTCATGGCAGAAGGGGAAGCAAACATGTCTTTCTTCACATGGCAGCAGCACGGAGAAGTGAAGAGTGAAGGCGGGGGAAGCCCCTTATAAAAGCATCAGATCTCATGAGAACTCACTATCACGAGAACAGCATGGAGGTAACTGCCCCCATGATTCAATTACCTCCCACTGGGTCCCTCCAATGACATGTGGGGATTATGGGAACTACGGTTCAGGATGAGATTTGGGTGGGGACACAGCCAAACCCTATCAGTACTCCTTGGTATTTACCCAGTGCAGTTGAAAACGTATGTCTACATAAAAACCTGCATGCAGAAGTTAATAACAGCTTGATTTTAATTGCCACAATTTGGAAGTAACCAACATGTCTTCAATGGGTGATTAGCGAGATTAACTATGGTACACATGTCATTGGATTTAGGGCATACTCTAATCTAATATGATCTCATGTTAACTAACTATATCTGCAAAGACCCTGATTCCAAATAAGATCACATTCTGAGGTTCTGCTATAACATGAATTTTTCAAGGACACTAGTCAACCTACTATAGTTCACCATCAAAATTTATGTCCATCCCATGTGCAAAATACATTTACTTCAACCCAGTGTTGCCCAAACTCAACACATGCATTCCAGCATTAACACTAAATCCAAAATCTCATCCAAATATCAACTCAAAAGGTTTCAAATCTTACCATCTAAACCATCTAAAGAAGGCATGGGTGAGACTCTAGTTTTAATATATCCATTGGCAAAATTCCTTCCCATCTGTAGACCTGTAGAATTAGAAAGCAAGTTATCGTCTTTCAAAATACAATCGTGGCATGGGCATAGGAGAGAATTCCAGTTCCGAAAGGTAGAAAATGGAAGAAGTAAATGGGTTACTGATTTAAAAAAATTTCACACCTAATAAGGTGAGAACAACTTGATATCATTCATAGGAAACCCACAAAACTTTTAAAAGCGTTCAATAGGTGAAAACCCTGGCAGCTTGGATGAAGGGAATGAACATAGTTCAAACTGGATTCTGGATTGCCAGTTCTTTACAGGCAGCTATGAAATGAGATTTTATTATGGAAAAGAAAGAAGAAATATCAAAGGGAAGAGCCAATTTCCCAGAAGGTAGAACTCAAGAGTCCAGAGAGTGGAGCCAAGTGCTGAGAATAGCAATGTACCCAAAAACCACTCAGGGGAGCAGAGATGGAGCCTATTTAAAAGTACTTCCTTGTCCTCAGCATATATGGCTGTTACAATATGGACCCATCTAGACTGCAGATTTGCTGTGGACCTGTGATTACAATGTACCTCCTGTCCCTATTTTAATCAGAGTGCCTGTATTTTATTGCTTCTAACCATTGTGTTTTGGTGGTGGGCAATTTATTTGTATTTTACTTAATAGGTATCTGGATCACAAAAGGGATCACCACAGCAAGCCTCATCCTTATTCACATATGATGCAGATCATGAGATTCTGGATTTCAAGCCAACTCATCTAAGAGGGATGAGAGTTTTGAAGGTCCTGCGATTTAGATAAACTTAACTTGAATGGGGGAAAATGTGAATAATTCGTAATGATAAGAAAGACTCTGATAGATTTAAAAAATTACTACAAATTCCTCAGTATGTCTTTCTCTTTGCAATGTGACATTGTGGCTTCTCCAATCATAGAGTGGAGTCTATTTCTTCATTCACTTGAACAGTCTTGTGATTTGATTTAATAGAAGGTTGGCAGACGTGACATGGTGGGTATTCTGAGCCTAGGTCTCAAGAGGCCTGATAAGTTCTGTGCTAGCTCCTCTACTGCCCTGAGACTTTCATGTGAACAAGTCTGATCTAACCTGCTGGAGAGGCCATGCAGAAAATGGCCCAGCCAACAGCCTGTACCAACCACCAGACACTGAAATGAGGCCATGCTGGACAATACTGTCCCAATGTAGTCATCAGGTGGCCACAGGCAAATGAGCACTCACAAGCTAGACTAGTAAGCAATCAGCCCAGCTGCACCCAGCCCAAATTGCTGAAGTGATTTTGAGCAAATTAAATGCTTGTTATTTTAAGATAAGAAGTTTTGGGGTGGCTCATTTTATAGCATTGGACATTAAAATACATTTTCTAATGCAAAGGAAATAATTAGAAAAAAACTAAGGGAGTTTGATATTTATAGAAATTTAGGCTATTCCTTATATGACTTTTATATAGATAAATTTTATGTAGAAAGTTAGTATCAATTTCCAGTACTTTTCTGATTTATTTCATATATGGACAAAGTATACAAGCAATATATACCTGCATATCAGAACTTCTACAATTGTTTTTACACTACACTTTGTTCTTACACTCTTTCAAGAGCACAATTACAGGGAGAAGTTTGCATTCTGGGTACATTATATGTACCATAGTTAATCTAGCTAATCACCCATTGAAGACATGTTGGTTACTTCCAAATTTTTTCTTTTTCTTTTTCTTTCTTTTCCTTCTCCTTCTTCTTCTTCCTTTTTTTTTTTTTTTTTCTGCTGGTCTGGCTTATGATCTTTAATGCAGTTTAATGCAGTTGTAGTCACATGGTAGGACCTGAAATTATCTGGAGGCTACCCAGACTAGACATCCAAGATGTTTTCTTTCCTCACTAGTATCTAACATCTTAGGGATTCTTGGTCTCATTCTCTCAGTCCACATGGTGTCTTATCCTTCATGAACTATCAATAAGATGAGCTTCTCATGGCATATTTGTCTCAGGGACACTTCTTACATAGTGAGTGGTTTCCACGAGGCAAGGAGTGAAACTTACCAGGCCAGTCAGCAACTACACCTAGAACTGACACAGCATCACTCCCATCTCATTCCACTGGCCAGAGCAGATGCTAAGTGGTAGATACAGAAACTCCCACTTTTGAGAGGCAAGGCAACGATTCAGAAGAACAGGCAAGATGATTAAACCATTTAAAAATATATAATCTTGTACAATTCCACAAATTAAATGTTTTTGTGTTTTCCTTTTGTTTAGTCTGTTATTAAAAACTAGATAGTATCTAATAATCACTCTTGTAGGTAGAGTAGGGAGTCTCGTGAAGTGAGACCCCACCCTTTCTTTGCAATTAAAAAGTTGATAATATCATTGGTGAATTTTTGTTCAAAAAGGATAAAGAAGTCAAATTAACTGAGCATCATCAATGTCTAGCAGATTTCTGGAATGTGGTAGAGGCATAACAAATATTTGTTGTAATATATTTGACAAAATGAAAACAATACAAACTGGTTATGTAAGCAGAGACAAGTCATTGAACTTCCCTGGGTTTCTATTTAGTAATCTGTAAGACGAAAAAGTTCCAAGAATCACAGATAATAAGAAAAATAAAACTGGCAATGGGCAATATTGCTAATATTTGTAGATTACAAAGACCAGTCATATTTATGTAGACATGAGTTGTTTGTCTCTCTGGAACGAATTCTAACTTCCCCATTTCTCAAAGGCCACTGATTTCCATTTTGGGATTCATATAGTTTTGAGGAAATTGACTTTATCTCAGGCTCCTGGAATACAGCCTGTCACAGAGGTTGGCCAATCAGTGTTTCTAGTCACATTGGACACATTGACTCATGGCGACCAAGTTTATCTAATAAGAGTTGATGTTGGGACTTATGCAGCCATATAGGTACATAAAGGAACCCAGTCTTAAGGTGGTAGCTCTCAGGAATATGCGCTTCCTCAGTCTTTTCCAACAGGAAATAGAAAACATTTCCTACATAGAAAACATACAACATATGTATCACTTTGATTGTTTCAGCTCATTGTCATAAGTCACTCAAACTTTTAATAATTTCCTGGCCTGCCTTAAGCCAGCTAGGAGTCATTTGAAATCAAAAGAGCCCACTGTGTTGCACACTAATACTCCATTCATGAGAACCTCTCCACCTTGTTGGGTGGTTTCTGACTCACTAGAAGAATCCTACAAAATTATAAGTCAAGTTTTCTCATACTGAAGAAGATTTAAGGGCCTTAGAGTAAAGGAGATCTAAGGTCCATTTCAAGGTCACCACTACTAAGTAGCAGAAAGTGAAACTACAGTTTTGTCTCTTTTTCTTTTTTTTTCCAACAAGAAAGACTGTTAGCCAAATGCAAGTTGGGAAAAGTCCAAGCTTTACCGCTGACAAGTCATGTGTGCTTCCTCTAGAATTTAGCAGATGGGGAGTCTGTCTTAGGTATTGCTATATTGCTGGCTTCAAGGGTATTGTAAGCCTTCAGTAAATAAAGAAATACTATTAGACAAAAGCTTTATTTTAGGCACATCACTTTTGTTTTTCCTTCTGAATGTTAGTATCCTCAACTTTAGTGTAGAGATAATGACTGCTAACTAACAGATATATAATAACTAAAGTAGTTTATACACAGTATTCTATATAGTACCTAAATAAAAAACAATGGTTATGTAATAGAGGTTAGTTCACTGTATGTCAGTCCACTAAGATTCCACACCATCTGCCTCTATGCAACTTTCTATCTACATAGAATTTTCATTGAGAACTTCTTGTTTGACTTTGAATTGGGGCCAGTTGGATTTTCTGTCACCAATTTTTCCACCTTGGTCTCATTCATTATTAACAGCAGTGACCCCTGGCATCTCAAAGAGTGAACATTAATGGCAATGGGTTTTAGTTACAAAAGCCAAGGTTACAGTTGTTAGAGCTCAGGGTAATTTTCATTCCTAAGTTCATTAAATTCTTAAAAGTGGAAAGGTCAATAGTGATTTATTCCACTGCCAACCATCTCAATGGCAATTCTTTACAAACAATTTTTCTGTCTTGACATATGGCGAGACTAATAGCCAATGAAGCTAATTGCATAAGGCAGTGAGTTGACTACTTGGATTCATTTTTAAAAGTAAAATCTGATATTATATACAAAAAAAAAAAGATGTTCCCAAGGCCCTCCACCTGAACGATGAGGACAAAAAGTGAGAACAAGGTGAGATCCTGCTGCCTTGGTAGTTATGGCTAATTTTATGTGTCAACTTAACTGGGCTAAGGGAAACCCAGATAGCTGGTAAAATACTAATTCTGAGTGTGTCTGTCAGGGAGTTTCAGGCATAAATTAGCATTTGAATTGGTAGACTGAGTAAAAAAGATTAGTCTTCACCAACATGCATGGGCTTTACCCAATCCATTGAGGGCCCAGGTAGAACAAAATGACTGAGGAGGGGTGAACTTGCTCTCTCTGTCTGAGCTGAAACATCCATCTTCTCCTGTTCTTGGACATTGGAGCTCCTAGTTCTCAGGATTTCGGACTTAGGCTCAGAGTTACACCCCCAGCTCCCCTGGTTCACAGGCTTTTGAATTTGGACTGAACTATCGCAGAAGCTTTCATGATTTGCCAGCTTGCAGAAAGCAGATGGTGAGCCTTCTCAACTTTCATAATTGTGTGAGCCAATTCCCATATCTCTCTTTCTCTCTGTCTCTCCCCCCGCCCCTCCTGTAATGCACTTGGCCATCTTGTATCTCAGCATCAAGAACACTGTAGGGCTTATGTGCTAACTGCATGAACACGTAAAGCTAAGATTTTAGTCATGGCTTTGCCTCATGTTGACTAAAATAGGAATAAAAAACAGCATGTAGATAATTCTTGGGAGCATATGCAGATGGGAGAAAATTCACAAGATGTTTTACAAGTACAACCTTAGGAGGGAGAAGGGTGCTAAGACAAAGTATATGCAGAGCTTAGCATTAACCTCATCGGCCAATGATGTGAGAATGATGGGTGCCATAAGAAAGCATACACACTTGGAGCCAGGCTTGACTCCTCTCACCTTGTTGTGTGTTGCAGATCACGGAGATTATGGGCAGGGGGAGAAGTGGTGAGATTAACCAAGCTTCAAACTGAGATACTCCCATGCTGTTGCGAGAGCTAAGTAGGCAAATAGGTTATCTAAAGACTCCCTGTCTCAAACATACAACTCATTCTACCCGAACCACGAACGGAGTAAAAATCATTCATCTTTTATCTGGTCTGGAAATAAGTCATTCAATTTTCCCTTCTCCAAGCATCTTCATCTACAAGATGGAGGTTTTCTTCCCTCTTTCCTCTCTCCCACTCCCTCTTCCTTCTCTTCTTCCTCTTTCTCCTCCTGTTCTTTATCCTCCTCCTCCTCCCTCTGTTTCTTCTTCTGCTTCTTTTTTTCTTCCTTTCTCTCTCTCTTCCACTTCTCATGCTCTCTTATTCATTCAGAAAATGAACATAAAATTCTACTTGTGCTAGGCACAAAAAATATACAAGTGAATAAAAAACAATGTTTTTCCTATTACTTCAGACTTTCACTTTCTAGTAGGGTAAGAAATTAAATCGCATAAGCAAATACATAATATAGAAGGATTATAATAAGAAAACACAAAAGGAGATTCAGATAGAGAAATCAGAGTGAAAGTCACTTCAAATTGAGTAGTCTAGGAAGATCTCTGTCTGGAAGTAACATGTGAGGTGAGATTTTAAAAAGATGGCAACGATTATTTTCCTAAAGTGAGAAAGATAAAATGCTGAGTTAAATTAAAATAAACAGTTTCAAAGCAACATAGGCAGGGGAGGTAATGGAACAAATGATGATTAACAAATAGACTGGGGACAATCATGTAGAAATGTATAGTTTCTTAGGCCAGAGGGAAAAAACACTTTAAAAAAATAGCACAACAGGAAGACATAAGAGTGTTGAAGGAGTGGCCATGAATAGCTTGCATTTTGGAGCCTTGGTTACTGCTGCTGAGTGTAATGGATCCTATGTTGGCTAAAATGGAAACAGGGAGATTAGGAGGATGTTACAGTATTCCAGTAGGAGAAGAAGGGTGGTTTAGAAAAAGTGGCCATTGCAGATAAAGATAAATGGAAGGATTCAAGAACTTACTGATTGATTGGATGAGGAGGCAGGAGAGAAAGTAATACCAAGAATAGTTCACTTTATTCACTGTGACCAGGCGATCGCTGCTCATTTCCAGAGAAGTGTCCCAAGTAATTGTTAAGAATCTTTACGGAAAACAGGAGCCTATACAAACACATATCACTGAAGACTCAGATAAGATTTAAGATATTCCTTTGCTTGGCCTCAATATCCAGAATTGCATTATTTTGTTCAGCAGCCATTGAAGTGTAAACACAATAAATATGTTTTGCTACTGACCTATGTTTGGAATTTTGTGGGCCAGTAAAGACAGAAAGAGATTGATGCTAAGGAAGTGAAGAGAGAATTAATGAGAAAGGACACAGCTCAGATGAACTGGCCAAGGCTTCGGATTAGGGAGGAAGGAAAAAGAGTACGAAGCATTACCCAGAGGGAGAAACATGAGAAATAATGGGACTAATGTCTCATTGCCCATGGTACATATAAAGGAGGGAGATGACTGGAAAGGCAGATTACGCTCAGAGAGGGAGACATTTGCTTGACATTTTAGTTGTTAGCAGTTCTAGATAAGAGATTTTAAGATGTGGTGGGGAGAATGTAATGAAAATACAAATGGAAGTGCAGTTGGTTGGGGCTGAGGAAGTGGAGGAAGCAAAAGGCCAGAATGAGAGCTTCAGGATGCACTTGGGCACTGCTGTCTCCTGCGATGAAGACTTGCAGGAGCATCTTCAGTCAGTGGATGAGGTTTCTGGAAAGCCAGGGGAAGCAACACAGTCATAATGTCTGGCAGTATACCAGTATAGTATGCTATAAAAAATGGGGGGCTCATTCCCCTAGCAGTTTACAAATAGGGGCTTAGTGACTACTTACTGAGTAAATGAATGTATAAATTTATCATCTTACAAACACCTATTTTTGCTTCTATATGTAAATTATGACTTACTAAGTAGGACTTTGGCAGTAACCCTGATTACTCTTTCTTCTCCTCTCTTTTAACCTGGTTGGATTCTGTTAATAAACCATATTTAGCTGAACCCTTTGTCCAGTATGTTAGTTTTTAAAGGTTGCTGATATGGTTTAGCTATGTCCCCACCCAAATCTCATCTTGAATTGTAGTTCCCATAATCCCCAGGTGTCATGGGAGGGACCAAGTGGGAAGTAATTGAATCATGGGGGTGGTTTCTTCCATGCTATTCTCATGATAGTAAGTTTTCGTGAGAGCTGATGGTTTTATAGGGGTTCTGGGTTCTCATTCTTCTCTCTTCTGCTGCCATGTAAAGAAGGGCATGTTTGCCTTCCTTTCCGCCATGATTGTAAGTTTCCTGAGGCCTCCCCAACTATGCTGAACTGTGAGTCAATTCAACCTCTTTCCTTTATAAATTACACAGTCTCCGGTATTTCTTTATAGCAGCATGAAAATGGACTAATACAGCTGCTATAACAAAGGAGCACAGATTGGATGGCTTCAATAAGACACATTTATTTTCTTCAAATACAATCACATGGCAGTTTAGGGCTTCAACCATTGAATTTTGGAGGGACACAATTCAGTCCATAACTCCCAAGATAATGATCTTATCAGAAATTCTTTGCCTTGCTTGTTACTCATTTAATCCAAGAAAGAAATGATTAATTAAGCACTTAATTTGTACAAAACCCTGAGCATGGTCATCCAGGCATGCACTAAAAGGTGAGTAAAGTGTAATCTCACTCTTCATGTAGAGAATGAAAATATAATAGATGTTGTAATAGGTATGCCAGGTAGACTTTCCAAACAGATCCAACTTTCATTTTAACTTGGTTGGAAACACACATGCTCTAGAGGGGGCAGCCCTTGATGCCACGAAGCTCGAATCCAGCTATGCTCACTGGACTAAAGGTGGATACAACACCCACCCCAAACTGGGTCAATTAAAGATTTATTGGGGATTTCATGTGGGGTCCAAAGGTTATCACAGATAATTGGAGTTGTCCACATGGCAGGCACGACATGGTGTGAAAGGAAAAGGTGTCCTAAAATGTATATTTTATTTTACCTATTTTATACATAAGGAAAATGAGCCTCAGAAAAATGGAATAAGTTATTCAAGATCACTACAGATTTATATAAATACATATATTTAAATGATTTTTATAATATAGTATATATTATAATAATATAACATATAATTATGTATGTTATTAATATATTATAATGCTTATTTTGTATATATACACATATATACACATGTGTATATTTTAATTTTTCAATGCCTTGGAGCTCAAAAGTGACTTAAATTTAGATACCTCTAAGATGTATATATATGCTTTTCTCTGAGCACTTGCTTTTAATATGCTATTACAGCCAGAGTATTTTGAGGGCATTTTAAAAGATTTTGAAAATGCCTCATAGAATCTAATGGAATATAAATATTATCCATTGCTTACAAGCCTGAACTACAGTAATATGTTCAAGTATTACTTCCTCACCTCATTACCACTTAATTGAATTAAAGCTAAATTTGTATTTATGCTGTGTAATTAGGAATTACAGGTAAGGGACAGGAACATTCTTATTAGTAGCCATCTGTTTGTAAAGAAGTGGCAATAACAGAATTACTAGGAATTCAATAGTGAACGTACACACAAAGAAAATCAGTACTGGTGGCTCATGCCTGTAATCCAGCACTTTGGGAGGCTGAGGAGGGCAGATCATGAGGTCAGGAGATCGAGACCATCCTGGCCAACTTGGTGAAACCCCATCTCTACTAAAATACAAAAAAACCCACAAAAAATTAGCTGGGCGTGGTGGCACACACCTGTAGTCCCAGCTACTCAGGAGGCTGAGGTAGGGTAATCACTTGAACCTGGGAGGGGGAGGTTGCAGTGAGCTGAGATCATGCCACTGCACTCCAGCCTGGTGACAGGGCAAGACTCCATCTCAAAAAAAAAAAGAAAGAAAGAAAAGAAAATCAGTACTGAAATGATGGTACATTGATTGTTTCGGTGAAGATGAAGAGATGGTGGCATAGAGGCTAAGAAGTCATGGAGCTACTTAGCAGTACACCTGGGCTAGAACCCCATTTTATCAGCCACCTGGCTTGAAATTTATTTTTCTTTCTAAAACACTTTCCTCCCAAATGCCCAAAAGACCTATGTCCACTGGGCCCATTCAATAAATGGTTGAAAGTTGAGTGAGCTGTCAGATTCACAAGCAAGTCAACCAAGGATTAAGGAGATCAGCCTCATCACAAAGACTTTTCAGAGAGCAGCTTGATTAGAATTGATCAACAGTCCTTCTGCTCTGAGAATAAATGACACTCCTCTTCAAAGAACATTAATAACTGATTTCTCTCTCTCATTTTCCTCTCTTAATATTTTTCTAGCAGTTTTTATGTCACTGGCATAGCATTATCATTGGCATCCAGCATCTCTTAGTTAAGCTTAGGGGTAATGCCCATCTTAATAATTAGCAAAATGGAGACATAAAGGACTCAAGTGACTTGCCCAAGTTAATACAGAGTTGAAACCCAACCCAGAGATACGGCCATCCGGATCACTCACTCGTCAACAAGAACAAATATCTAGGCAGTGATAAAAACATTAAATGACAAGATAATTAATGATGAGCTATACCACGCCAGAAATGAATAAAGATTTCATGCACATCCTCATTTACGCTTACATCAACTATCATTCATTTCATAACAGTTTCATCAACATCCACCACGTGCAAGCCACTGTGCTGGGTTTGAAACGGTCTACGGTGCAATGTTGTGTTGTACCTTAGGCTCAAATCCTTGCCCTGCTCTTCACTAGCTGTGTGACCTTGGGTAAAAACTTTAATATCTGCAAATTTTCTTATCTGGAAAACAACAACAACAATAACACTTACCTCTTAGCATCACAATGATAAGTACAACATCCAAAATGATCTGTAAATTCACTGACATGGCAAATATCTGAATGAAGACTCAAAAGAAGTCACCATGATGGGCAAATGGATAAAGGAAGGCTGATATCATTATCGGAACTATACAGAATAAAAGGCAAGATTCTTGTTCTCAAGAAATTTTGTCTTAAGGAGTTAAGTAGTGATGATCACTCATACAAGGAGTAGTTGACAAGAGCCTTCTTGTGACTGAGACAAAATAGTGTGGGAACATGGAGAGATTTTTTTTGGTTTGTGCCTTTCTAGAGGACTTCAAAAAGACTGTAGTCTCAAGCAAGACCTTGAAGGATAAGTATAATTTGACAAACGTGGGGAAGATGGGCACAGTGAGTAAAAGGAATAAAATAAATGATGGTATAGGAATGAAAAAAAAAGGTAACTGGCAAATATTAATTAATTGGCCAAGCTTATTGGAACAGAATACGTATCTAGTTGAGGCTGATGTTAAGACTAAATAGGAAAGTCAGGGACAACACAGAGATTCTCCAAGGCAGATTAGGGAAAAGACCTGTCCAACAGGCCTTGCGCAAAGGAAAAGGCACCATTCACATGCTTCATCTCTACCTTCACTCCTTCCTCCCGTGATGGCAGCTGGCTAGAGGTAAATTGTGTTCAGAGCCCTGTGTCTCGTTTTTATGATTTATTATTTCAGTTTTTCAGCAGGGTGAGAATATAGAGTTTGCTGGATGGCACATACTCAGGGAATTTATGTTGCATAGCTAAACATCATGTCTGTCTATCTCTTCCCAGTAATCTCCGATAATACCCAAATGGGCTTTTTATTTTAAACATCTGGACAGCCTTATGGTGGTTGAGAATTAAGGTGCTGAGTGAAGAAAACAGTGCAGTTATAAAGTCTGTCGGATAAACAAAGCTTTCTCTGGAACATTAACTCCTTTCCTGAGAAATCTTCTCTGTTCCTCAAAATGCACTTAGTAACTTTACATCTTCATCTCCAGGTACCACTTTTCTTTTGCAAATACTCTCATGGCATTTAATGGGGCCATTAAGGTAGGAAACTATGGGATATTAGCATAAAAAGAACATTGCCAGAAAAAAAAAAATTGCAAAATGCTTTCTCTCACACACACTCTCACCACCCCCACGCCTTTGAAGTTTGCTTTTGTTTTATAACAGCAGAAATTCCCATTGTGGGTGGTAATTTTTGCTAGATAATAACTCTGTTGACACTGCCACACACTGGCAAAAGTTGTGTAACTCAGGAAAAGGTGAGAGACTGAAATGGAATATAATCAGATAGTTTTATTTGTTTTTAATACACACAGCCATTCAATAAATAAAGGCTGTTGGGTTTTATCTTCCTTCTTAGAGATCTCTATGGCTTCTTCTCACTCTAGAATGGTGGAGAAGTATGAGCAGTCTTTGACACCTCTGAGCCTTTGCAAATGCGTGCCATCTGCTGGGTGCCCTCCTTGTCCTCAGTTTCCAGTAAACACTCCCTCACTCTCCAAGATTCAGTTCACATGTTTTCTTTAGTATGAGACTGTCTAGACCCCACAAGGGAGAGATGGAAGCTCCCTGCTTCAAGTTATCATAAAACCATACCAACACTTCTCACATGTCCTGTCATTGCATTTATAGGCATATGGCCCCAACCAGGCTAAGAGCAACAACTAGGGCTGGGGGTCGGGAGTGTGGATTACTTCATTCTTTATCACTATTTTCTGGTTACTTATACAGTGCCTACCACAGAGTTAGGCATTCAACATATATTTGTGTATTAGTTTTCCACTGATGCATAACAAGGTACCATAAACTTTGCACCTTAAAGTAACACATATTATCTTAGAGCTTTAATAGGTCAAAGGCCCAGGCAGGGCTGGTTGAGTGCCCCACTTTGGCTCTCACAATATGATAATCAAGGTATCATACAGGACTGAGTTCTCACGAGAGCCTCAACTCTGGGGAAGAATCTGCTTCAGGCTCACTAAGGTTATTGACAGAATTCAATTCTTGTAGCTGTAGGACTCATGTCAGCTTTCCTCTTCACAGCTAGCAAGAACAAGATAGCAGAGACAGTCCACTAACAAGGCAGAGTTTTCTATGGGATGATCACAAGAGCCTTGCCTCATCTTTGCACATTCTGTTGATGAGAAGAGAACCACAAGTCTCCCTTCATGGAAAGGGAGTATACAAAGGCATGAATAGCAGGAAGTGGGATCACACAGGCCCCCTTTATTGTCTGTCCATCACAGAATGTGTTTAACAAATCTCTAATCCAAATGAACTGCTTTGTTTTTTTCTAATCATAGCATGATTAAACCTAGTGTTGCTTCATGCCATGTCTTTTAGGTATTCAATGTCCTTTGCTTACTATCTGCCTCGGAATGCACAGGTTCTTACAGGGCAGAGTTCGTGTGTATCCTGTTAGGACTAAACTCTGACCTTTTTCTTCCCTTCTCCAAATTCCTATCTAAAAGGCCTGGGTAGTCACGCCTGTAAACCAAAAATAAAATCCAAAGGCCCCCACCCAACCATCTAAATGAACTCCCTCCTTGGCCAGGGCACTCCAAATTTAACCTGAAAGGCTGGTTCAGGCCATGACATGAGAGGGTGAGGGTGGGCATGCCTCATTATGCCCTCCTTGCTTTTGGAATTCAGGAAAAGCTGATCAGCATTTAACATCAACACAGACCTTAAGTCTGATAAGGAACATTGACAATCTATTCTCTCTGAAGCCTGCTACCTGCAGGCTTCATCTGCATGATAAAACGCTGGTCTCCACAACCCCTTATTGTAACCCAAACATTCCTTTCTATGGACAATAACTGTTTTAACAATTGCCAGTCATCAAGTTTTGAAATCTGTCTATAATCTGGAAGCCTCGCTGCTTCGAGTTGTCTCAGCTTACCAAACAGAACCAATGTATGTCTTAAATGCATTTGATTGATGTCTCAGGTCTTCCTAAAATGGATAAAAGCAAGCTGTGCCCCAACCACCTTGCGCACATGTTCTCAGGGTCTACTGAGGGCTGTGTCCCAGGCATGGTCCCTCATATTTGGCTCAGAATAAATTTCTTCAAATATTTTACAGACTTTGTCTCTTTTGGTTGGCATGCCCTACAAACATAAAGTCTCATCAGAGGGGTTTTATTCAACCCAGGATAATGTGGCTCACTTTGCAATGTAACTCTGGCATAGCCTCACATGAAAGGTCATGAAGGAAATCAAAATATTTTAACCCCAAATATGTTTCTTTGCCATATCTTGAAATAGCTCTGCAAAGCTGTCACTTGCAGGGAAAAACTACATTCTGTAGAGAATCCCCTTCCCTTTCCGGGGCTTTTTCCTCAATAAAAAACCTTAGCAAGGGCTTAGCATATGCTAGGTACTCAATACTAGGTGTCAAATAAATGATGTATTGAAGTAATGAAGAGAGCATGAGAGAGTGCTCAATCTTTGGTATGATTTAGGGGATAATTAGGCACTTTAAAAAAAAACAATCATAATCTATACTCTCTGAAGCCTGCTACATCTTCATCTGCAGGCTTCATCTGCAAAATGGAAACCTTGAGCTCCACAACCCCTTATCCTAATTCAGACACTCTCTTCTATTGATTCTAGGTCTTCAGACGATAACTTTACTCTTTCAACCAATTGCCAATTAGAAAATCCTTGAATCCTTCTACAACCTGGAAGCCCCCACTTTGAGTTGTCCCACCTTTATGGACCAAACCAATGTACATCTTACATGTATTGATTGATGTATTATGCCTCCCTAAATTGTATGAATTCAAGCTGTAGCCCAACCACCTTATACACATGTTCTTAGGATCTCTTGAGACTGTGACTCGGGTCATTAGTCACTCATAATTGGCTCAGACTAAATCTCTTCAAATATTTTACAAAGGTTGACTCTTCATTGACACCTGTTTGAGTACGTAGCCTATGTTAAGCCCTTGCTAAGCACTATGAATATATTGTTAAACAGGTGTGTCAAATGAATGAGTCAAATGTGTCAAATGAATGAGTTATTAATCAATGAAAGAGTATGAAAGTGTGCTCAATCCTTGGTACGAGTCATACAAATGTGAAACTTACCCTTCTTGAAGAAATATTTCCTTTCATATTCTTTAAGTATTGGCTTGGGGTGAATAAGATGCCAACTGCTACATCCTATGCCAGTAACTCAATTCTTTCTTTCTAAGGGCCTCTTCTTTAAAGCACCGCTGCATGGACAAGTCCCATAACAGGGGCTTTTGCCTCAGGCCAGAAAGACTGAAGTTATTCAAAGTATGAAATAGCCAGAAATAAAAGATAACTGAAAGAGAACTCTCAACTCTCCTGCAAAGTTTCTTCTAGGTCCTTGGATTTGCACCCTCTCTTCTTCCATGCCTTATACGCTCCAGCTTTGATTCCATTCTGCCTATCTTGTACACATTTATGAGTTTTCCCTGAGCCCTGGTTCATCCTTTCTTGTCTTGATTCTCTTGGACCAACTACCTTGTATAGCCCTAAAACCCCAATTCTCTAATCTTAGTCAATTTGTACTTCATTTTGACTTCCAGAAGTGCCCATAGGTGAGCAGTTACTTGGGTCAGGAATAACTGTGTCTGCTCTACTGCCAGCCTCCTAGGAGTGGCCTGATTCAACCTGGATAGGTCTTGTAGTTCCAAATCTGATGGCTCATCTAGAATCTCATCGCCTTCAAAGACTAAAGAAAACATTTTGAAAGGGGAAAGATGTGAACACTAACTATTTAGGTTTCTGTTCTTATCAGTGTCCTTTGATCCAAAGCTCTTTCAGACAAGGAAGGAATACGGTTAACATGCTACATATATAGACATCAATTTCAAACTTACAGAGTTAATATACTTCATAGATATACATCAATTTCAAACTTTCCTGATGTTTGCAAAAGAATGCAGATTATCATTTCCTTTCTTCTTTCATTTCCTCCTTCTTCATTCACCCATTATTCCACAAACAATAATGAATCGTTAGAAGAAAAATGAGTAAAAACAGATGGTAGAGGGAGGTTAAGCTCACAAAATACTGGTGCATTCCTCTACATTTCCCTGTCTTCCATGCAGTTATATTGGGTCCACATAATTTTATCCTGAAAAGGGATGTGTATTATTTGTATGTCATCTCTATTTCTAGAGCCAAGGCGCACCCTGTCCATTCCTTTCCTAATCTTCAGCAGTGACCTTGGAGAATGTATTTTGAGATGGTATAGTTGCAGGGTGAAAGAGCCTAAATTCCTAAGTTATTGCGAGGCCAAGCACAGCTCTGCAGAGCTGTCTAAACACCATAGGTCTTTGGGTGAACAAGAAAAGCTTTGATTGTACTTAGTGAAGGATATTACTGCAGCATAGATAAATGGCATACAAGAAAGAATTTCATACATATAGGAGAATTTCAAAGGTCAACAGTTTGACATCTGTATTGTCCTGAGCCAGAAATGAACTGAAAATGATCTCTCTCTCTGTCGCTCAACTATTTACCTATCTACCTCCAAACTATATACTATATATAACTATATATGTATATATCACCATCAACTATATATATATATATATATCACCATCAACTATATATATATATATATATATATGTATATTTTCCCTGAGCACATCTTGCTTGTTAATTATGCTTTTATATGCATTATTATGGGGATGATAGTCTATATGTTATATTTAGTCTAATGAAATAATTCTGTGAATAATGAGGTTTTAGAATGTATTTAACAAGTATTCAAATAATGCTTATGGTCTTTCATCTGGTCAACAACAGTAACCCCTCAACTATAGACATTTCTGTACATTATTAAAAACAGTGAATTCTGACAATTAAGAGTTAGGCATCATTCTCAGCAAACTAACACAGAAACAGAAAACCAAACACCACATGTTCTCACCCATAAGTGGGAGTTTAACAATGAGAACACATGGACACAGGGAGGGGAACATCACACACCAGGGCCTGTCAAGGGGTTGGGGGCAAGGAGAGGGATAGCATTAGTGGAAATACCTAATGTAGATGATGGGTTAATGGGTGCAGCAAACCACCATGGCACATGTATACCTATGTAACAAACCTGCACGTTCTGCACATGTATCCCAGAACTTAAAGTATAATAATAAAAATAAGAGTTAGGCACTATTGTGTCTATTACGCAGATAAGACAGAGGCACAGAGAAGATTTCATATAAGTGGTTAGTGGCAGACTTGGGATTTGGATCAGTCAACCTGGTTTCAGAGTCTGTGTAGTTAATTACTATTGTATGCTAGGCATCATAGCAGCAACTGTTCAGATTTACCCCAGAGTAAATATACCAGTTCATTTCATTTCATGTGAATGTATGCAGCTGCGTCAATATATTTGTCTGGTGGACACTGAGGAGACAGTGTGAACTAGAGAAACTAACTATGGTGCCTCTTGTCCCCCCATGTGAGTAGTAGGATGGCTCATATTCTGCTTTCCGAGCTGTCTCCTCCTCTGCCATCCTGTTCCCACTTCAGTCCTATGATATATGCCAACCTAATACTATCTGCATCTCCTGTGGTTTTTTAAATAGCCATATCACAGTAGCTATCCAAGGTCCAAATATCAAATCAGATGACTGTTTTCCTGGTCTCAGACTGGACCCTTCTGTTGGATTTGACACACAACACTCTCTCCTTGAGGAAATGCCTTTATAGTGTCTTCCTTTTGCATTATTCTAGTCTCTTTGTTGATATGTCTTCGAAGAGGTCTTGAGTTCTTCTCTAAACTTTTCATTACTCACTAGACTTGGATAACCTCTCTTCTCCAAAGGTCTTTTCTATCTGTAAACTTCTATACCTCTTCTCTAATTGAATCTGATTTTTCTTAATGAACTTGACCACTTTTATCCAATCACTTACATGATTCCTTCTCTTTTTTTGTGTGATGCCAAGTTCTCCTGATTCTCATGTGACCTCCCTAACAATTTCCCCAGCGTTCCTTTGATTGGTTTTTCCCCTTCCTCTCCTGCTTGACCTTTAATTACCAGCAAATCTTAGGTCTCTATCTTAAGTCCTCTTCTCTCCTTGGTCTACATATTTTGAGTTGTCCCTCCTTTATGGACCAAACCAATGTACATCTTACATGTATTGATTGATGTATTATCCCTAAATTGTATTAATTCAAGCTGTAGCCCAACCACCTTAGACACATGTTCTTAGGATCTCTTGAGGCTGTGACTTGGGCCATTGGTCACTCATATTTGGCTCAGACTAAATCTCTTCAAATATTTTACAGAGGTTGACTCTCCCTTAACACCTGTTTAACAATATATTCATAGTGTTTAGCAAGGGCTTAACATATGCTATGTACTCAATGGGTAAGTTCATTCCATTTCATAATAGTAAACTCCACCTATGAGCGTCTATGGCACAAATCTTTATCTCTAGATCTTTCCTGAACTCTGTAATGCCTATTTGAATCCCCTCTTATAAGTCTAGTTGATATCTCAAACTTCAATTTTCTAAAGCAGAATTCTTGAATAACCCTTCACAATTATTATTCCCTAATTTTTTCTTCTCTCCAATAAATTGTTCACATCCCTATTTAAGGCATTATCCTTCCTTACTGCTTCTCTCATACCTACATCCAATCCATCACCAAGTCTAGCCAATCTTGCCAACAAAACATATTCTGTTCTGATGAACTTCTCTCAATGACATTACTATTCCCCTAGTGCAAATTTCCATTATGTCTCACCAAGTGTATGAGAGCCTCTCAACTATATTCTCTGAGTCTTTTCCAGCTGCCTTAAATCATATTCTCACCAAAACAGCCAGCATAATCTTGTAAAAATATAACCCAACACATATCACAATCTCCTGATGACTTCTTATTACAAGTGATGGTTTGCCTTGGCTTATAAAGCCACAGTGGCTTATGACTTGGTCTTCAGAATCATTTGTGAAACTTTTTTTGATGATCAGATGCCTCTGTCCCACAAAGTATTGTGCAGTAATCTCATATTAGTCTTTTCCTTCGCCTTTAACATAATTACTCAATTCTACTGATTAAGTTACAAGATGAATGAAAGGGCTGAAGAGAACCTTAGCAGGAAAAACTGGAAAAGAAGCTGTTTCATGCTGAATGTTCTCTACCATCTTTTCTTGATGCACTCTTGTATTAACTATGCTTTGCCCAACACCTTGAGGGTTACCAGGTTCTGTGTGAACGTTGCAGCCTGAAGTCTAACTAACTCCACAGGACATCATTTATATGGAGTAAGTTACACAGAGCTCTTTCCCTACACCTCCAGCATGAGTGAATCCTCAGCTTCTGCCTGTAAGGACTGAGGAACCTTGATTTTATTAGACATGCTAACATTTGGGTCCCACTTCCATCACAAAATTAGGACTGAAATTGTATAATCAACTAGGAAATAAATAAAAGCAGTCTAAGACACTGTGAAAAAAATGTTTAAATATCTCCACTTAACATATAAACAAATGCAAGCTGGAAGGTCATGCATAGGTCAATGTTACATATAGGAAAAGTGCAAGCACTTTTGGGGGAGGTTTCTAGTAACTCTGCTAAGAATAAAAGATCAGAACTGGGATGTGAGGTGGCTCAAGAGCCATGATGTGCAGTTTGACACCAACAAAATTAATTTTCTACTAAAACAAAAACAATGCCACAGTTGCAAGAAATATCATTGAATTCAGAGACTTTACAACATAACATACACAATGATGAGGCTACAAACCCAAAGTGCATGAGATTGGCATATAAATAACCAAGAAAACGTGACCAAGACACAAAAGAAATGAAAACCAGCTGAGAAAAATCTCAGTATGACATGCTGAAATTAACATCATATATGGACTTGAAAGTGGCTGTGTTACTATGTTCAATGAAGTAAAAAATATATTTCCTTTAATAAATGAAAAGATAGAAACTCCACATCACATAAGGACTTCATGAGGCAGCTCCCAGCCCTCTCATTGTTCCTCACTTGCTGCTTTGCAATGCACCCTCCAACAGCCCTGCTCAGATTGCCAATCACTGCACTCAAGACCCTTACTTGCCTGAATGCCTTTGCCCATACTTCTCCCTTCTTCTGGGAATCCCCTGCCTCTTTACCTGAATAACCCAAGCTCTTTCTTTGCATCTTAATTTCTACGCAAATCTTACCTAATCTTCCCAGGCTGCATTAGGTTTTTTATGTTTCCTTCATGCCTTGTGCATTTTTCCACCTGTGCTATTATAAAATTATAATAAAGTAAACTGCATGTGTGCATAGATTATCCTTTAACTTGTGAGCTCTCTGAGGGCAAGAACTCTGTTTAATTATGTTTAATTCATCTTATATAGTACCTATCTTCTAACAAAATGTTTGTTGAATAAATGGAGGAATAATAGGAACAATAAAGGTAATAATGCATAATATCCACTGACATGTGGTCTTTTCTTTACATTTATTGCTATTATTTAATTTTTAATTAAATAATGTTTTATTACTATCCCTATGAAGTAGATATATTTATTAAACTGTTTTACAATTTTATGAACTTAACTTTTTTGTAGTTAAAAAAATTTCTGAGTCTTTTCTAAAGTACCAGAACAATGTGTTGTTGAACATCAAATTTTGTGCATCTACATACTTACTAGACCATACCAACATTTTCTGAAATACTATGTGATTTAAGAAAGTCTTTTACCTTTGTGCATCACAGATTCCTCCTCCAAAATTAAGGAAATGTAATGCATAACTGGTTCTCAAACTGGGATTTTTGAAGTGAGATCAAAGTTTATTATGCCTATCAAAAAGAAATGCCAACAGTACCTGTAATAAACCTTCACGGACAAATTAGAATAGCCAGTCATTGTCTTTAGTTTGACATTTTGCCAACCTGACATGGTAAGATTGGCAATCTTTTGCTGATAAGAAACTTAGACGCTTCATCAATAGAATATGAAGGAGGAAGAGGAGGAGGAGGAGGAGGAGTTTCCTTCAAACTGAGTAGAGTTTATAGAAAGAAAAATAAAAATGCTTTCAGAAAATGGTTTCCAATGAGGGAGGAAGATAATAAAGTAGATCAATGTTGGTGGAAAAATAAGAAAATGTGGAACATAATCTCTCTGGTCTCTTGCAGCATAAAAACACAATGCTAAAAACCTTCCCTTCAGCCCTGTAAGGTGACACCACAGAAAGCTCTGAGAAGGAAGAAAGATGAAGAAAGTAGAGAAGATTTTTATTTGTACATTGTGAGCTTTTATGTGTAAGATTTTGCCTGAAGCATGGCTCAGATCCTTCTGAAACTGCCCTGAAGACAATAACTATAAACTGATTAATACACACACATGCAATGATCTTAGGAGACTTCAGAGTAAACAATATCAGGCAGTTTTTATACAAGAGTTGAAACTCTGAAGAAGGGAATGGCAAGCATGAGTTACCCATTTTTGTGGCTTTTAGCCTGAGGGCAAGCCAAAGTTAGGGCCAAGCAGGACAACTATGGTTGCTGCATTTCTTTTTTTAGCTGTGTAAGCAGAGAACAGATTTTGTGGTTACTAAAGTTACTGGGAAGTAAAGGAGAATTATCCTGAAAGGAATAGTCAGAGAGAAGATGCACCCAATTTTGTGTATAAACTCTACCCAAATTGCTGGCTGTTCTCTGAATTGTGCATGTGTTGGGAAGGCTGCTAGCAACTTTGCTAAAAATAAAAGATCAGAACTGGGATTTGAGGTGGCCCAAGAGCCATGATGTGCAGTTTGACACCAACAAAATTAATTTTTTACAAAAACAAAAAAACAACAACCCGGTTCTCAGGAATACAATTGAATTCAGAGACTTCACAACGTAACATACACAATGATGAGGCTGCAATCCCAAAGTGCATGGCTTATAAATAACCAAGAAAACATGACCAAAATGCAAAAGAAATGATAATCAACCGAGAACAATCTCAGCACATGTGGAAATTCATATCACATATGGACTTTAAAGCAGCTGTATATCTATGTTCAATGACATAAAAAATTATCTTAATTAATGAAAAGATAGAAAATCTCAGCAGTGACATGGAAACTATAATAAAAGGATCAAGTGGAAATTCTAAGAACTCAAAAACACAGTATCAGAAAAAACAGAAAGAGAGAAAGGAAGGAAGGAAGGAAGGAAGGAAGATTATTAGGTAGAATAGAAATGCTAGAGTAATAGTCAGTGACCTAACAGTTATATTAATAGAAATTCTCCAAAGTGAAAAAGAGAATAAATTAAAAAGAAGATGGAAGAAGAAGAGGAAGGGAGACATAGAAGCCTACAAGATAATAATAAAAATTCTAAGATATGCATGCTTACAGTCTCATCAGAGAGAAATGAGGCAGATACAGTATATGTTTGAAGACACAATGACTGAAAACTCCCCAAATATGTTGAAAGACTTAAAGTTTGTAGAATCCTGAAGTTAAATGAACCCCAAGCAAAATAAATACAAAAAAAACAAAAAAAATCTTAGGCATATTAGAGTAAACTGCTAAAACCAAAGAGAAAGAGAAAATCTTGGAAGTCATCAGAGAAAAATAACACATTTTTAGAGGAAAGTAATGGTTTCAATTAGCACTGACATCTCTATGAGAAACTATAGAGGTCAGGAGACAAAATAATATCTTCAAAGTGATGAAGTTTTTTGTTTGTTTTTTGTTTTTGAGATGGAGTCTCGCTCTGTCACCAGGCTGGAGTGCAGTGGCATGATCTCGGCTCACTGCAACCTCCACCTCCTGGGTTCAAGCAAATCTCCTGCCTCAGCCTCCTGAGTAGCTGGGACTACAGGCACATGCCACCATGCCCAACTAATTTTTGTATTTTTAGTAGAGATGGGATTTCACCATGTTGGTCAGGATGGTCTCAATCTCTTGACCTCGTGATCTACCTGCCTTGGCCTCCTAAAGTCCTGGGATTACAGATGTGAGCCACTGCGCTTGGCCTAAAGTGTTGAATTTTTTCAAAAGCCCTGTCAAACCAGAATAGCTGATTTAGAAAAAAAATAACACTCAGGAATAAAGATGAAGTAAAGGCATTTTCAGACCAAAGGAAGCTGAGATCATTCATCTGTAGCATACTTACAGCAGAGGGAATGCTGAAGAAGATGTTTCAGTCTATAGAAAAATTGATACCACATGAAAACTCAGAGCTTCAGGATGAAACACAAAGCTTCAGAAAGGCTGAATATCCAGGGAAAAAATACAAACAATTATTTTTAAACAAGAGGAAAATTTTTTTTCTCTTAATTTCTTTGTAATACATGGTGCTACTGAAAGCAAAAATTATACTCTTGTCTTGGTGATATATAATAATCTGGAAGTAAGATAAATGAGAAGTCTAGTATAAAGAATGAAGGGGAATAGGCAGAACACAGGGGATTTTCAGGGCAGTGAAATAGTCTGTATGATGCTATAATGATGGGTACATTTATTATACATTTGTCCAGATCCATTGAATGTACACCAAGAGTGACCCCTAATGTAAGTGATGGATGCTGGGTGATAACGATGTGCCAGTGTAGGTTTATCAGTTATTACAAATGCACCACTCTGGTGGAGGATGTTGATTATGGGGGAAGCATGCATGTGGGGTGGGGAAGAGAGTCTATGGAACATCTCTATACCTTCTGCTCAATATTGCTGTAACCTAAAATTGCTCTAAAAATGGGTTTATTTTAAAAATGGAGAAAAAGGCAAACGGATATGTGCCCTTGCAAAGCTTCTACGTGTTATGTGAAGTGATGTTAATGTTAAGAAGAAATGAAGATTTTTTTTTTAAAATACATATTGTCATCCCTAAAGCAACCACTTAAAATGATGCAAAAATACATATTAAAAAGCCAACAGATAAATTAAAATAAAATTCTAAAAAACATGGTAAAATTACCTAAAATAAGAAGGAAAATGGAACAGAGGAGCAAAAATGGGGGAATGACAAAAATGAAATAAATAGTAAAATGATAGACTTAATTCAACCATATCCATAATTATGTTCCATGTAAATAAACTAAACTCTTCAACTAAAGGCAGATACTATCAGAATAAATCAAAAGTCTAAGCCTAATTATACAATGTCACCATTGATGTACTTCATATATAAACATACAGGTTCTAAGTCAATGGATGGAAAATATATACCACTGAAATGGTAAGCATAAGAAGTCTGAAGTAGCATGTTACTATCAGATAAAACATATTCTAAAATCAGAAGCATTAAGAGAAATTAAAAATAAAAGCTCTGTGAGACAGGCAGGAGATGCTATTATTGCCATATCAATGTAACAGGTGGCTCATGCCTGTAATCCCAGCACTTTTGGGGGCCGAGGCTGGCAGATCACGAGGTCAGGAGATCGAGACCATCCTAGCCAACATGATGAAACCCCATCTCTACTAAAATACGCAAAATTAGCCAGGCGTGGTGGTGTGTGCCTGTAGTCCGAGCTCCTCGGGAGGCTCAGGAGGCTGAGGCAGGGGAATCGCTTGAACCCGGGAGGTGGAGATTGCAGTGAGCCGAGATGGCGCTACTGCATTCTAGCCTGGGGACAGAGCAAGACTGTCTCAACAAATAAAAGAAAAACGAGATTTTGAAAGGTGAGCCTTGTTGAAGAATGTTTGGCTTAAAACACTTTTTTTCCTGCTGTTTTATTTGTTTAATTAATTTTAATTTTTAATTTATTTTTAATTTTTGTGGGCACATAGTAGGTGTATAGATTTATGGGGTACATGAGATCCTTTGATACAGGTATACAATGTGTAATAATCACATCGGGAAAATGGGGTATCCATCACCTAAAGCATTTATACTTTCTTTGTGTGACAAACAATACAATTATACTCTTCTGGTAATTTTTTTTTTTTTTTTTTTTTTGAGGCAGAGTCTCACTCTGTCACCCAGGCTGGAGTGCAATGGCGCTATCTCGGCTCACTGCAAGCTCCGCCTCCCGGGTTCACGCCATTCTCCTGCCTCAGCCTCCTGAGTAGCTGGGACTACAGGTGCCCGCCACCATGCCTGGCTAACTTTTTCTATTTTTAGTAGAGTCGGGGTTTCACCGTGTTAGCCAGGATGGTCTTGATCTCCTGACCTCGTGATCTGCCCGCCTCGGCCTCCCAAAGTGCTGGGATTACAGGCGTGAGCCACCGCGCCCGGCCCTGGTTATTTTCAAATGTACAATAAATTAGTGTTGACTGTAGTCACCCTGTTGTGCAATCAAAGACTAGATTTTTTTTTTCTTTTTCTTTTTTTTTTTTTTTTTTTTAGACAGTCTCACTCTGTCACCCAGGCTGGACTGCAGTGGTACAATCTCGGCTCACTGCAACCTCTGCCTCCTGGGTTCTAGTGATTCTCCCACTAAAACACTTTTCACACGAGAGTACAAGTCTTCTTATCCTCGGTAGCCAACAATGCTCAGCATGAGGAAGCTACTCCACCAGTGACTGCTGAAAGAACAATCTGCTACCGGTCATCAGGGCACAGTAACCCACTGACTCACTACCGGCACTGCCATTCACAGCATAGTATGCACAGCGTTCTGACATACAGTAGTCACTCTAGTGAACAGCCACTGTCTCATCGTTCCGGGATCTTGGAATTACCCCCGCACCATCAACCACATGGTTACTGTAGAGGCTTCTAGATTATTGCAGTGTGACCCAACCCTGGCCACTCTTGATATCCAAGAATGTGTGTATGGCATAACAAGATCCTCTGTTTTTGTGTTCTTCATAATTTTGAAATGAAAACTGAGTAGGCTTCATTAATTGGGTACCTGAAGTTGTAATGTATTTAATGTGGGTAGTTTGTGGCCATGACTATCTGAAACAGATTTGAAACTTGGAGGGAGCTGTTCAGAAGAGAGACAACAAAGAATATGAAAAAAGAGAAAAAGAGGCCGGGCGTGGTGGCTCACGCCTGTAATCCCAGCACTTTGGGAGGCTGAGGCGGGCAGATCACGAGGTCAGGAGATCGAGACAATCCTGACCAACATGGTGAAACTCACCTCTACTAAAAACACAAAAAATAGCCAGGCATGGTGGCGCGTGCCTGTAATCCCAACTGCTCAGGAGGCTGAGGCAGGAGAATCACTTGAACCAGGGAGGCGGAGGTTGCAGTCAGCCAAGATCGTGCCACTGCATTCCAGCCTGGTGACAGAGGAAGACTCCATCTCAAAAAAAAAAAAAAAAAAAAGAGAGAGAGAAAGAAAGAGAGACTAGTGGAAGTAAAAGAAAGTGTTGGAAAAAGTTCAACTCTTTTATTTCAGCTGGTTCCCATTCTTGGGTCCTTTGAAAACTATGAATACTTTTCAAATGATTCTCCTTTTGGCTTCTGTGTATTTTTGTTGTATTGTATCTGTCTCATGCTAAAAAAAGAAACATAAAAAACAGTTGAAAAATATACTCATTTACTCCTTAGAGTTACTGAGAATCAGGAGTACCTCTCCCATTCATAATGTTTTTATTTTTAAATGTAAAATTGAAAGATTATAAGAAAAAAATGCATTTCAAGCAACATCAGTAAGCTGGTGATGGACATCTTTTGGGAGAAGGGAAAGGACTTTTCAGTATCCCTAAATTTTCATTATATTGCCAGCTGCCTATTCTCCTTCCACAGCAGGCAGGTTCAGCATGGTGCATTGCTGGGCCTGCAGCAATAATCCACAGCAGCAAGAACAGTGCATCATCCAATTATATGGTCTATTGTTTCATTATTCACCCTACACCAGCTGCACCTGTCACCAACCCCACTCTCCTTCATTTTCTACTTGCAAGCTTACCCTCCCCCTGCACACACAGCAATCATAGCCTGTTCTGAGTAACTTCAGTATCCCATTAGTTTCAGTAAGCAATATACTTCACTTCAATTATAAATTTAGAAATAGCATTCTCTACTATTACCACCCATTTTGGCCCCTACTTTGCCATGAATGAAGTATAGTGAGAGCGAATTATGAAACAGAAATTTTGGAACACAAAATCAAAGTAGCTTCTATCCCCTGCTCTTTGATGCACACCTCAATGTAAATAAAGTCACACACATGACAGACACACCCCGTACACCAGGCACACACACATACCACATACACACAACACTTACATGCACACATACACACACATAGGCACAGGCGTGCACACCAGGAGAGCAAGGCATTGGGTCAGGTAGTTCACTAACGTAACACATTTTTTGAGCCATGCTACATTTTCCTTTTGTTAAATCAATCGAATAACATTTGAGCAACACTGTGAGATATAAAATGGAAATGGAAATTTTGCATTTGCCTTAAAGGAAACTACATTGCAGCAGGTGAAGAAGATATATCCATGAAGACTATTTCCCAACAATTAGTAAGAAAGTATCAAAATGAGATTCAGGATATCTGCGTCCTGTTCCCAGCTAAAACAACCAGCGGTCAGGCAAACAAACAAGAAAAAGCATTAACAATTTTCACAGAAATTATTTTATAAAAGGAATTTGTTAGATAATTGTTAAAAGACTGGATAAGCAAAGATGAATACTGAAATAACAGTGGCAATTACTATAAAAATTAGCTATCCTCTCCAGGACTGGGAAAAAATGGAAATCACGCAGGTTACTGCCGTAAGCTTTTAAAACTAAACACTATGCATGACCCCTTAGTGTCTCTGGCTTAAGGTAGGGTAAACTCCTTGGCCTCTGACCCCATTACTTTCAGTCTAATAACAACCCTCTAGCTCTAACTACTCCAATTAGAGGAAAGGGGCATAGAATAAAGAGGGTGAGGAAAGGACAGTAAAAATAATATTGCCTCATGTGTACAGCAAAACCCATGTAATCAGCACAAAAGGAAGTCTTCACGTGATGTACACACTTTCTACTTGGTTGACCTTCCGCTCTAGGTCATCAGAAGGAGAGCACTGTAGCCATTTGCTGATGTGAGAACACAAGAGGGACAGATCTGGAAGGAAATCTCAGGACATCAGTTGGATATGTCTGTTATTTCTATTAGATATCTACATGTTGAACTAGGCAGCTGAAGACGCAAGTCTGGAATTCAGGTGTGAGGTCCTTCTTGGAGATAGTGATTTTGAATTTATCAGATTCTAGTTAGTATTTAAAGTCACGACATCCTATGAAATCATCAAAGGAGTGAGTATGGATAGAAGAAAGGAAGAAACTGAGATGTGAGTCCTGAGCCATACTGAGGGTTAGTGGATGGGAGGAAAGAAAGATCCAGCAAAAAAAAAAAAAGAAAAAAAGAAAGAAAAGAATAAGACAAAATGGATAACAGAGCAGACCTGCGGTGCCCCAGGACAGCCAGCTTGCAAAGACTTCCAGGCAGAGGAACGGATCATCTTGGCCAGTGCTTATATCATTCAGGTTCAAGTGATAAGATAGAAAGCCCACCAGATATTTAAACAGAGAAAATGTGATGCATATCATCATTAACTAGGTGTTTAAGAACTGAAAACAAAAAATAATAAGATATCAGAGGTCAGAGGAAGCTGCTATCACCAAGGGCCTGGGGAAGCAAAACAAAGTGATTGGAATTTATAAATTGAGAAGTTTGGAGAAAAGGAGCTGAAACAGGCATTCCAGGAGAGGGTATTGCTGAGTTGGTGTGTGTATCTAAGCTCAGAAAAGGGGCCCCAGACATTCAAAAAAGTGAGACCATCTGGTGCTGGTGTCTCTAAGGAGACATGATAAAGCTGGTAGCTGGACCAGCATGTGTTGGAAACAATTGCAATTTTTCATGGATAAAATTGTATATATTTATTGTAGACAACATGATGTTTTGATACACGTATCCATTGTAGAATAGTGTCAGTCTAATGAACATATTCATTACTTCATATACTTATTTTGTGTGTGTGTGGTGAGAACATTTAAAATCTAATTTCTTAGCCAAATTCAAGTATACATTTTTGTTAGTTATAATTGCCATATTGTACAATAGATCTCCTGAACTTATTCCTCCCGTCTTACAGAAATTTTGTATCCTTTGACCAACCTCTCCACAATCACCAACCCCAACAGCAGTCCTTGGTAATCACCACTTTATTCTCTGCTTGTATGAGTTTAACTTTTGCAATCAAACGCTGCTAAGAGAAGGAGGTGCTGCCTGCTGGGATTATGTTGTCAGCAATGACAAGCAAAAGCAGAAACAGGAAGTAAGTAGGATGGACAGTGTCTTTTTTTTTTTTTTTTTTCTCCTGAAGACTTCCAGTCTGTTGAGCTCAATGATGTGACTGGTTGACTGGGTGAGGTAAAGCACTAGGTCTTTGTAAGAGACCAGTAAGTGACTAAGAGAACAGGATACCAGAGGAGCCACCCACCTGGGTATGAAATACACCAAGAGAATATGGTAGAGACGGTGAGACAGGCACTATTCTTTAAGAAATAAGGGAGAGCCATGGTGGGGGTTGACAGTAGGGAAGAATCATCTACGGCAACAAGAAAGAAAGTTTCAAACAAAATTTACTGAGCACTAAACCTTTGTGAACCATATCGTTTGGGTACCTTGAAAGGCAGAATTATAATTGGCCTTTCAACCAAGGGTTGGCATTTTTTTTTTCTGTAAAGCATCAGCTCGTCCATGTTTTAGGCATGTGAGGCACGTGGTCTCAGTCACAACTACTCCACTCCACTTCTGCTGGAAAGCAGCTCTGGACGTTGTGCAAAGGAAGAAATGTGTCTGTTTTAATAAAACTCTATTTCTTGACAATGAAATTTGAATTTGATATAATGTTTAAATGTCATAAAATATCACTCTTCTTTTGATTTTTTTTAACCATTAAAAAAATGTAAATATCATTCTTAGCTCATGGGCCAGAAAAACACATTTGCTGTTATAGGGTGTAGCTTGCCAATCCTGTGTTTCAACTGAGGCTCTGCCATCAAAGAGCATGAAAACTCACAGATAGCAAGACATAGGCACAGAAATATATGGTTAAAGGTAGAAAATATCAATAAGATTTTGGAGGGATATATTAAAATTCCCATGCAAGTTCAGGAATCAAGGAAAACTGTGGAAGAAGTAGAATACAAGAAATTGTAATGCCTTAGAAACTGCTGACCTAGACATGGATGAATCACTAGCTCTCAATTTGCAGGGCAGGCAGAGCAGATGTGCGTGTTTGGGTAGACCCTCACTTTACTCCTTGTGGCCCTTACAGAGCCCAGTATTAGTCCTGCTTGCTCTGTTTGGCTACTTTCCATAAATCAGCAAAAGCAGCAGGTTGGAAATTATTATTTTCTTAGAATAAACATTTTCTAATCTGATCTGTCTTAAAGGATCGAAGTAACACTGGACATTACAGAAATCTGAGATGACAGAAAGGAAATGCCCAGCCTATCACAGACTAAATATAACTTACCTTTGCATGAATGATTTTCCAAGGAACACCAGCAGGACTTAGAGAGGAGATGGAAAAGAAAAGTGAACTGTCTGGAAGAAATTAGCTTCTGCCAAATTGCACCCCTCCTGCTTCCTGAATGACTTGCTTTGGAAATTATGCTTATAAAAATCACATTCTCCTTCACTGCAATTTTACAGAGGCTACTATAATATCACTCTTCATCTCCCCCTTTTCTCTCTGCCCACACCACTATTCCCAGATCAGGTAAATTAAGAGGAAACTGGACATCAGAAAGCAAAAAGGACAAATCATTAAAGGTATGTGAGCACTCGAGCCAAAATCTGAGAGTTCCAACCCTGTTTCTCCACTTCATGTTGTTAAACTTCAGACATGGTAGATGATTTAATTACTTTGTACATAAGTTTCTTTATAAAGAAATAAAGATAATAATGGCATCTATCCCTTAGAATTGTTATGAAGATTAATTGGGTTAATTTATGCAGATTGCTTAAAAATAGTCCCTGGTGCAGAATGAGCATTAACAATTATTATTGACTCTAAAGTCTTGTATCAAAGCTTTTACTGACTTCCTGTGACTTACAGCAGGGGTCCCGAAACCCCAGGCCACAGACTGGTAATGGTCCGTGGCCTGTTAGGAACCGGGCCACACAGCACGAGGTGAGCAGCGGGTAAGTGAGCAAAGCTTCATCTGTTTACAGTCACTCCCTATCACTTGCATTACTGCCTGAGCTACACCTCCTGTCAGATCAGTGGTGACATCAGATTCTCATAGGAGCACGAACTCTATTGGGAACTGCACATGCGAGGGATCTAGGTTGCCCACTCCTTATGAGAATCTAATACCTAATGATCTGTCACTGTCTCCCGTCACCCCGAGATGGGACCATCTAGTTGCAGGAAAAGCAGCCCAGGGCTCCCACTGATTCTACATTATGATGAGTTGTATAATTATTTCATTATATATTACAATGTAATAATAATAGAAATAAAGCCCATAATAAATGTACTGCACTTGAATCATCCCGAAAGCACCCCCAACCTCCAGTCCGTGGAAAAATTGCCTTCCACAAAACCAGTCCTCAGTGCCAAAAAGGTTGGGGACTCCTGACTTAGAGGATCCACTACAAGCTCCCAACATTCTGCAACACCCTGAGCCCATTGCTGTCTTACACTCTTCTACTCACTGTTGTGACAGCCCATTTCTATCTTACAATCTTGTACTCACTGTTTTCTCTAGCTGGCAAAATATTTCTATTCCTATTCTTAAAAATCCTAGTCATACATTAAGATCCAGCACTAAAATTGGCTTGATTTTGTGCATTTTCTCTGCCTCCACCAAGCATTTAATTCCTTTGTTATGAGCTTTTGTCAGTACAGCTTTTCTTAACTTGCATGGTGTCTAAGTTAAAATGGCTGTGCAGGAACTCTAGCTCTCTGGTACTTCCAATATAAACCATATGAAAGGGCTGTGCCCTATTGTTCACGCCTGTAATCCCAGCACTTTGGGAGGCCAAGGCAGGTGGATCACCTGAGGTTAGGAGTTCAAGACCAGCCTGACCAACATGACGAAACCCCATCTCTACTAAAAATACAAAAATTAGCTGGATGTGGTGGCAGGCACCTGTAATCCCAGCTACTCAGGAGGCTGAGGCAGGAGAATCGCTTGAACTGGGGGGTGGAGGTTGCGGTGAGTCGAGATCACGCCATTGCACTCCAGTCTGGGCGACAAGAGGGAAACTCCATCCCAAAAGAAACAACAAAAAAATGCAGTGGCTCAAGCCCGTAATCCCAGCATTTTGGGAGGCCAAGGTGGGCGGATCACGAGGTCAGGAGATCGAGACCACCCTGGCTAACACTGTGAAACCCCGTCTCTACTAAAAATACAAAAGAAATTAGCTGGGTGTGGTGGTGGGCACCTGTAGTTCCAGCTACTTGGGAGGCTGAGGCAGGAGAATCACTTGAACCCGGGAGGTGGAGCTTGCAGTGAGCCGAGATTGTGCCACTGCACTCCAGCCTGGGCAACAGAGCAAGACTCCGTCTCAAAAAAAAAAAAAAACAAAACAAAGATAAGAAAGATTGTTTATTACTCTGGGGCAGAGGATAGATTTTCCTACCTCTGTTCAATATTTGTTAGCCTCTGCTTCATACACAAAATAGAGTTGCTGGGTTTTATTTTTCTTTGATAGAGAATGTTCTCAGTACGTTGGCTCATAAGAAATTTTCTTTCTTTGGTTCTTCTTGGTATAGCTAAAAGAGACTTTAAAAAGTAATAAATATATGAAAACCTAAAGGGAAATAAGCAAAGGACACACAGGCAGAAATCACAGAAAGCTCCAGTTCTTGTTATGGATTAGAGGTTTCAAGTCCTGCCTGAAAACTGAGCTCACAGACAGGAGAATGCAGCAGAATGAGGTTGTGAACTGAGCTCAGAAATGTGTTGTTCAAATCTTGGTCCCAAGACCTGACAGTATTGTGAACTTGGGCAGGTCTATTTGTCCATGAGAATGGAGTTCTTCATAAATACATAGAGCCGTAAATGGCTAGCACTGCAAAATGGTACTACAATGATTGAGTACACATTAGTGACAACTTTTGGCACTGGACCTAACCCAATACGGGCAGCTTTGGCTATGTGGGGGTGGAAGGGGTATTATTTGTGTGTTCCATATCCTTAGGAAATTAACACTCCAGTTCTAAAGGGATGCTACAACCAGCTTCCCAGCCTGCTTCCTGCTCTCTATAACCCAAGCGATAATTCTAATGACAGACTTCAAAGATCTGAAAGCCTTGACAGATTTTAAAGCACAGCCCAAGGGTGCACATGGATCCTGGGGCCCACCCACTTCTAGTCTCAGATCTAACTGCCAGTGGCCCCACGAGAGGCTGGCCTTGGTATTGACATCAATATCTTACCCTCCAAAAATTCCCCATCAAAAATACAAATAGATGTCTGCTTTAATCCGACAGCAACCACAACGTCCAATACAGTAGGAATTGCAATGGTATGTGAGAGAATTGCTGGCGTCCTTCAACAAGACTAGGGCTAGAACCAGTCAGACTTATTCTCAGCTTGGAGAAAAGGGGGAAAAAAACTAAAAGGGAAGGAGAAGGAAGAGAAAGAGTTGAGGGGAGAAAATAGCTAAGATTTTTTTTTTTCTAGAATCCGGAAGATTTTAGAAACATGGGTTAAACAAGAGCCCAGAGTTAAAATTAGAATGAAAGTGAACAGGTTCATATTGCCTGGGGTAGAACACAGAACGATAATTGAATGCAAAGGTTACATGAAAGAACTTTTTGAGGGGATGGGAGTGTTCTAAAACTTGATAGTAGGGTGATTGCATTTACTAAAACTCATCTAATGGTAGTATTAATTATCTAAGAGTACACTTAAAATGGGGGAATTTTATCACATGTAAACTATACACCACAATAAAGTTGTGACCCACCCCAGACAGAGCAATCTGGGCTCCAGCCAATGAGGCACTGCCAGGTGGATGGAGCGTGTGCCATCCTCCTGAGATGTGTGGAGCACCTGAGCGAGTTGCTTTGTTTTGTTTTCCCTAGCTGGAGAGTTAACACTGTGCATGCTCCTTAGGGGCCAGCACTGCAGCTGTAAAGCCCTCTCTGGGCACCTCCTTTAGACTTGAAAGAAGATGGCAACACCTCTGGTTTTGGGAACCAGACTCCAGGAAGGCATTTTAGGGCTGCATAGGAAGCTGAGTTGGCGCAGTACCTCAGCAGCTGTCCCTGAGCGAGGGGACAGCTGCGGATGGAAGTCTTTACTGTGAGCCGTCACCCAGGTGAGTATACGACCTATGTCAGACTCCACTGTGGAGTGGAAGAACTTGGTAGTGACTCCCCATAGGAAGGTCCCAGTTTTTCAGACTTAAAAATGTAGTATGGTGCATAAAGGAATACAGAAACTGTGTCGGAACATTGGCTTGATATTTCAGTCCCTGGGGAGCTTCAGTGGCTCCGTCATTGCAATCTTTATGCCAGTAGCTGCCTTAAAGGGATGTGTGCAGATTAAAGGAGAAGAACCTAGGTGCCAGCATGACCAACTGTCCCAGATTCCTTGGGACATTGAGGGTTGCCTGGACTGGGGATTTTCAGGTGCTATAAACAAGGAACTCCAGGCAAACATAGATCCCTCTCTCATCCCTTCCTTAAAGCTTTAGGTGCTCAAATTTGTATCTTCCAAAGATAACTATGGCCACTGTGTGGGAGAAGGGTTATGGAGGCGTAGGGGAAGGGCTAAAATGAGTATGTGGTTTCTGGAAGACAATGATAATAATCTGAACTAGAATATCAAAATTTGAAAAATTAAATTAAAAGAAAATATGGTGGATTTAACCCTGGAAGTGTGGGCGGAGTAGGAGTGGGAATCTAAATCATTAGCAGACATGTAAACATCCATTAACGGTTTCAAACCTACTCTACGGTACAATAGAATCAAATATTTGTAAACAGTGCTTGGGAATAGAGGATAATTTTTTATTTTGATTAAATTGTTGTCTTGAACCATCTGCTTTTGGCTCACTTGTATTTAACCAATCTGATTTCATCAAATTACCTATAGCTATTGAGACGAGGGGCCAGCTAGGCTTCCTGGGTCGAGAAGGGGCTCAGAAAGCTGTGAAACTCACTCACTTCCTGCATCAGGACTTACTTCAGTCCTGGATGAATAATATTGAAGATTATGCTTAAAATATTCCTAACACCAGGATTTGTGCATACGTTTTCTTCCCCAAGAAAGCTATAAACAGCAAAAATTTTGCTGTAAGTTTCCCTCTGTCCTCTCTCCCTTTCTCCCTTCCCCCTCTCCCAAAACTAAAGTAAAAGGAATGTTAACTGCCCCTTTTTCTGTGACCAGAAGACCTTATCTATACTCCCAAAACCAATTCCTCGAAAACATACTTTGTAAAGTCCTGTAAGATCCTGTTTCCTTTGCCATACCGCTGCAAGGTCATAAAGTAGATAAAATCTAAGTTGCAATTCCAGTTTTCCTCAAAATCTAAGACATGTCACAAAATAATTTATTGCCTTTGTTTCTCACTCTGGTGACATCTTCCCACCACATGTATTTTCGACCTTAAAAAGTTTAAAAGGGAATCATATAATCTAACTCTGGCAACCCGTTTGGAACCCCTTCCACACTGTGGAAGCTTTGTACTCTTGCTCTGCTCAATAAAACCTTCTACTCACTCTCTCTCGGTCTGAGTCTATATCACTCACTGCAGTCAGCCGCCACACCAATTCTTTGGTGTGGCTAGGCTAAGAAACTTAGGTGTTATATCTTGGTGAGCCAATCAGGAGTCTCCAGGAAAGGCATCTAGATCATCAAGTGGTGAGTACGATCAGACCTCTTTCGCTTGCTATTCTGTCCTGTCCTTCCTTAGAATTCGGAGGCTAAACACCAGGCACCTGTTGGCCAGTTAAAAGTGATTAGCGGGTGCCAGGCTGTCTGGGAAGGGGCTCTCTAACAACCCCCAGCCCTTCGGAGTTGGGAGCATTGGTTTGCCTGGAACCAGTTCTAACTCTTTCACTTTCCGTGGTGGTACCAAAGTACACCTGGGAGTGCTCAGCAGATGTCTTGGTCTCCCAGATATCCTGGTTGAGACCATGGACCCGTCAGAGGCTCCCCCTGCATGGGTTACTGAGCACTAAGCATGAGACAGCCACATTTTCTGACTCCTGCCTCCTGGGTGCTAATGTCCACTGTTTAGACTTCTTTCCTCATCCCGTAAGCATGGTTATTCCCACTAGGCAGGATCAAGATTCCCTATTTAGAAGTCTTAAATTCTTGGGGTGGTGCCCAGAAGATCCCTGTTCATGGTGTCCTCCAGTGTTTAGGCAGGTGTCGCCATTTGATGGCTATTTCAAAGGGCCAGTTCCCCACCATAGTGTATTGTCCCCCACATCAGGACAATTTAAAGACAGGTCTGTAATTTTCATGTGGATAGTAGAAGTCTCAGGGCATTTCCTCCACTGCTCCCCAGATAGACTTTCCCCTTCCTTGGGCCCTCTCAAGTACAATCTGTGGTGCATAGGCACATTCTTAGAGCCATTGAATCATTGTTTCAACCATTCAATAATTGGTATTGGATGGAAGAAAATATAGTCAGTTGGGACACGGGATGCCGGTACCACCTTGAGAGAGGGGCTTACTCCCTTGATGGCAAGTGGGGACAGAAGGCTAAAGTACAGCAGCTGTTCTCTCAGCCCTGGCCTAGAGGACATCCACAACCCCCTTTGAGCTTACTAAGCCTCCTGTTGCTAATTCAGAGATTTCTCCTTGAAGGACAGTTTTATGGCCAGGCCCACGTAAACTGGGCCTTAGCATGCAAGCATCAGTGGTGCCCCCAACCCAGGCCTTGCCACCCTGGAATAGGTAGGATGCATTGGCAGAAGGACCACAATAAATCCAGCAGTCCTTATGCCCCATTTAGTGGTCAATGGGCACACGGCAGGGGCAAGGGAAGTTTCCATCCTGCTGGTAAGCATGGTTAAATCCAGTAGATGGAGAGCTCCGGAAAAGCGGCCATGAGCTTTGAGCACAATTGGACCTGACCCTTAGGGGATGCCTAGGGGAAGATGAGTCACAGGACTAACCAGGGGTGCGGGCATCCCTGTGTTTAAAATTCCAGATGGGCACCACACCTTCAAAACTGGACACTCCCTTAAGATGCATCCTGAATAACTAAGACAGATTCGACCCTGAGAACTTAAAAAAGAAACAGCTGATTTTTTTCTGTACCAACGCCTGGTCACAGTACTCCTTATAAAATGAAGAAACTTGGCCCCCTGAGGGAAGTATTAATTATAACACCATTCTACAACTAGATCTTTTCTGTAAACAGGAAGGTAAATGGAGTAAAGTCCCTTATGTACAGGCTTTCTTTGCCCTTTGTGACAATACTGCCCTGTGCCAAGCCTGCAAGCTTTGCCCAAATGACATAGACCCACAGTTGCCTCCATACTCAGGGCCTCCTCCCTCAGCCCCACTCTCCTTCCCCACTGACTCTCCTCCATCTGGCCCCACTGAAGTGTTAAAGGCACACTGCAAAGAGAACATAAACTCCGTAAGCCAAGCACCCAAACTATGTCCCTTACAAGCAGTAGGAGGGGAATTTATGCCCACCTGTGTACATGTCACTTTCACACTCTCAGATATAAAACAACTAAAGGCAGATTTAGGGAAATTCTCAGATGATCCTGATAACGATATAGATGTCCTGCAAAGATTAGGGCAGTCCTTTGACCTAACATGGAGAGATATCATGTTACTTCTTGATCAAACCTTAAGTCCTACTGAAAAGGAAGCAGCTTTAGCAGCAGCCTGGTAATTTAGGGATCTCTAGTACCTTAGCCAGGTAAACAGTCAAATGGCCCTGGAGGAGAGGGAAAACTTCCCCACAGGGCAACAGGCAACCCCCACTGTAGACCCTCATTAGGATACTGACTCAGATCATGGAAATTAGAGCTGCAGGCATTTGCTAACTTGCATTTTAAGAGGGTTGAGGAAGACTAGGAAAAAGCCTATGAACTACTCAATGCTATCCACAATTATGCAGAGAAAAGAGGAAAACCCCTCCGCTTTTCTAGAAAGGCTAAGGGAGGCCCTAAAAAAGCACACCTCCCTAACTCAAAATTTCACAGAAGGTCAACTTATTTTAAAAGATAAATTTATCACCCAATCAGCGGCTGACATTAGGAGAAAACTCCAAAAGACAAGTGAAAGTTTTGATTGCTAAACTATTATGGTGAAAATTAAAGTTGTCATTAAGTCTTCATAAGCACCTACATGTTAAACTTCTTCTTTTTTTTTTTCTTTTCTTTTTTTTTTTTTTTGAGACAGAGTCTTGCTCTGTCGCCCAGGCTGGAGTACAGTGGCATGATCTTGGCTCACTGCAAACTCCACCTCCCGGGTTCACACCATTCTCCTGCCTCAGCCTCCCAAGTAGCTGGGACTACAGGCACCCACCACCAGGCACGCCCGGCTAATTTTTTGTATTTTTAGTAGAGATGGGGTTTCACTGTGTTGGCCAGGATAATCTTGATCTCCTGACCTCGTGATCTGCCCACCTCGGCCTCCCAAAGTGCTGGGATTACAGGCGTGAGCCACCACACCCGGCCTAAACTTCTTGTTTTAAATCCACTTAATGTGTACAATTCCTTTTCTGCACAGTGTCTTCGTTTTTTTAAATTTTAATTCAGGGGTCCATGTCCAGGTTTTTTATATAGGTTAATTGTGTTTTGTGGGGGTTAGGAGTATACATTATTTCATTACCTCAGTGATAAGCATAGTACCCAACAGGTAGTTTTTCAATCCTCACTCCCATTCCACCCTCCATGCTCAAGTGGGCCCGGTGGCTTGTGGTTCCCTTCTTTATGTCCATGTGTACTCAAAGTTTAGCTCTCACTTATAAGTGAGAGCATGGGTATTTGTTTTCTTTTCCTGTGTTAGTTTTCCTAGTATAATGGCCTACCATCCATGTTGCTGCAAAGGGCAGGTTCTTATTATTTTTTATGGCTGTGTACTATTCCATGATATATACGTACCCTATTTTCTTTATCCAGTCTACTGTTAATGGGCATTTAGATGGATTTCACATCTTTGCCATTGTGAATAGTGCTGTGATGAACATCAGTGTGCGTGTATCTTTATGGTAGAATGATTTATATTCCTTTGAGTATATACCCAATAATGGGATTACCAGGTCAAATGGTAGTTCTTCTTTAAGTATTTTGAGAAATTGTCATACTCCTTTCCACAATGGTTGAACTAATTTACATTCCCACCAGCAGTGTATAAGCATTCCCTTTTCTCCACAGCCTCACCAGCATCTGTTATTTTGTTACTCTCATTAATAACTATTCTGACTGGTGTAAGATGGTATCTCAATATGGTTTTAATTTGCCCTTCTCTGATGATTAGTGATGTGTAGCATTTTGTCATATACTTGTTGGCCATGTGTATGTCTTCTTTTGAAAAGTGTCTTTTCATGTCCTTTGCCCACTTTTTAATGGCATTGTTTGTTTTTTGCTTATTAAGTTGTTTAAGCTCCTTATAGATTTTTGATATTAGAATTTTGTTGGATGCATAGTTTGCAAATATCTTGTCCCATTCTGTGGATTGTCTGTTTACTCTGTTGTTAGTTTATTTTGCTGTGCTGGAGCTCCTTAATTAGCTCCCACTTGTCAATTTTTGTTTTTCTTGCATTTGCCTATGCTTTTACTTAGTCATAAATTCTTTCTCAAAGTTGATTACCAGAATGATGTTTTCTAGATTTTCTTTTATAATTCTTATACTTTGAGGACTTACATTTAAATGTGGCATTAATTTTTATATATGATGACATATAGAGGTCAAGTTTTATTCTTCTGCATATAGCTAGCTAGCTGTTGCAGCATCATTTATTGAACAGGGAGTCTTTTCTTCATTGATTATTTTTGTTGACATTGTTGAAGATCAGATGGCTGTATGTGTGCAGCTTTATTTCCAGGTTCTCTATTCTGGACCGTTAATCTATGTGTCCGTTTATGTACTAGTACCATGCTGTTTGGGTTATGGTAGCCTTCTAGTGCAGTTTGAAGTTGAGTAATTTGGTACCCCCAGCTTTGCTCTTTTTACTTAGGATCACTTTAGCTATTTGGACTCTTGTTTGCTTCCATATGAATTTTAGAACTTTTTCTCTAATTCAGTGAACAATGTCATTGATAGTTTGATAAGAATAGCATTTAATTTGTACATTGCTTAGGGCAATATGGCCATTTTAACAGTATTGATTCTTCTTATTTATGAGCATGAAATGTTTTTCCATTTGTTTGCGTCATGTCTGATTTTATTCAGAAGTATTTTGTAATTCTCATTTGAGGGGTCTTTCACCTCCTTGGTTAGCTGTACTTCTAAGTTTGTATGTGGTGTGTGTGTGGTTATTGTGAACAGGACTGTGTTGTTCTTGATTTGGCTCTCAGGTTGGGCATTGTTGGTGTATAGAAACGCTACTGATATTTGTACATTGATTTTGTATTCTTAAACTTTGCTGAAGTTGTTTATCGTATCTAGGGGCTTTGGGGCAGATATTATGGGGTTTTCAAGGTACAAAATCATATTGTCTGCAAAGAGAGATAGTTTGACTTTCTCTCTAATTGGATGCTTTTTATTTCTTTCTCTTGCTTGATTATTCTGATTCAGACATCCAGTAATATGTTGAATTGGAGTGGTGAGAAAGTGCATCCTTGTCTTGTTCTGCCTCTCAATGGGAATGCTTCCAGTTTTTGCCCATTCAATATGATATTGCCTTTGGGTTTGTCAAAGATGACTCATTATTTTGAGGTATCTTCTTCCAACATCTGATTTTTTAAGGTTTTTAACATTAAGGGATACTGAATTTTATGCAAAGCCTCTTCATCTATTAAGATGATCATGTGGTTTTCATTTTTAGTTTTGTGATGAGTCACATTTATCGATTTGCATATGTTGAACAAACTTTGCATCCCAGGGTTAAAGCCTACTTGGTCATGGTAGATTAGTTTTTGATGTGCTGCTGTGATATGGTTTGGCTGTGTCCCCACCCAAATCTCACCTTGAATTGTAATAATTCCCACATGCCAAGGGTGGGGCCAGGTGAAGATAACTGAATCATGGGGGCAGTTTCCCCCATACTGTTCTCATTGTATTGAATAAGTCTCATGAGATCTGGTGATTATATAAATGGGAGTTCCCATGCACAAGCTCTCTTTGCCTGCCACCATGTAAAATGTGTCTTTGCTTCTTCTTTGCCTTCTGCCATGATTGTGGGGCCTCCCTGGTCATATGGAATTGTGAATCCATTAAACCTCTTTCCTTTATAAATTACCCACTCTTGGGTATGTCTTTATTATCAGTGTGAGAAAAGATTAATACACGCTGTATTCATTTTGCTTGTATTTTTTTGAGGATTTTTGCATCTATGTTCATCAAGAAAATTAGCCTTAATTTTCATTTGTAGTTGTGTCTCTGCCAAGTTTTGGTATCAGAATGATGCTGGCCTCATAGAATGAATTAATGAGAAGTACCTCTTGCTCAATTGTTTGGAATAGTTTCAGTAGGAATGGTATCAGCTCTTCTTTATATGTCCAGCAGAATTTGGCTGTGAATCTATCTGGTCCAGGGTTTTTCCTCGTTGGTAGGCTTTTATTACTGATTCAATTTCAGAACCTGTTATTGGTCTGTTAAGGGTTTCAATCTCTTCCTGATTCAATCTTGAGAGGTTATATGTTTCCAGAAATATATCCATTTCTTATAGGTTTTCAAGTATGTGTGCATAGTGTTGTTTATAATAGTCTCTGAAGGATTTTTGTATTTTTGTGAGGTTGGTAGTAATGTCTGCTTTGTCATTTCTTATGGTGTTCATTTGTATCTTCTCTCTTATTGTCTTTATCAGTCTTATTTCCTCTTTCAAAGAGCCAACTTCTGGTTTCATTGATCTTTTGTATGGTTTTTGGTGTATCAGTTTCATCCAGTTCATCTCTGATTTTGGTAATTTCTTGTCTTCTTCTGATTTGGGGGCTCATTTTTTCTTGTTTTTCTAGTTCCTCTAGATGCAGTAACAGACTGTTAATAAGAGATATTTCTAACTTTTTAATGTGGACATTTAATGGTATGAACTTCCCTCTTAACACTGCTTTAGCTGTGTCCCAGAGATTCTGAAATGGTGTATCTTCGTTTTCATTAGTTTCAAATAATTGCTTGATTTCTACCTTAATTTTATGGTTTACCCAAAAGTCATTTAGGAGCAGGTTGTTTAATTTCCATGTAATTTGTGCATTTTTGACTGATTTTCTTTGTATTCATTTCTATTTTTATTGTGCTGTGGTTGCAGAGTGCAGTTGGTATGATTTTTTTTTTAATTTGCTGAGAATTGTTTTATGGCCTATTGTGTGGTCGATTTTAGAATATGTGCCATGTGCAGAGAGAAGAATGTATATACTGTTGTTTTGGCATAAAGAGTTCTGTAGCTATCTGTTAGGTACATTTGGTCAAGTGTCAAGTTCGGGTCTCAAAAAATTTTTGTGAGTTTCCTGCCTTCATGCTCTAATACTCTCAGTGGGGTATTTAAGTCTCCATATTATTGTGTGGTTATTTAAGTCTCTTAATAAGCTTCTAATAATTTTTTTATGAATCTAGATGCTCCTGTGTTGGATGAATATATATTTAGGATAGTTAAGTCTTCTTGTTGTATTGAATTCTTTCCCTTTATGTAATGCCCTTCTTCGTCTTTTTTGATAATTGTTGGTTTAAAATCTCTTTTGGCTGAAATTAGAATAGCAATCCCTGCTTTTTTTTGTTTTCTGTTTGCTTAGTAGATTTTTCTCCATCCTTTTACTTCAAACCTATGGATGTCATTGGATGTAAAATGAGTCCCTTGAAGATAGCATACTGTAAAGTCTTGTTTCTTTACACAACTTGCCACTTTGTGCATTTAAGTGGGGCAGTTAGCCCATTTACATTCAAAGTTAATATTGATATGTGTGGATTTTGTCCTGTCATCATGATGCTAGCTGGTTATCATGCAGACTTGATTTTGTAATTGCTTTATAGCAGGGGTCAACAACCCCTGGGCCACAGACCAGTACTGGTCCATGGCCTGTTAGGAATCAAGCCACACAGCAGGAGGTGAGAACTGGGTGAGTGAGCAAAGCTGAGGTTTGACTCCTGTTAGATCAGATGTGGCATTCAATTCTCATATTTAAAGACAATGAACCCTACTGTGAAATGCACATGCAAGGGATCTAGGCTCCACACTCCTTATGAGAACCTAATGCCTGATGATCTGTCACTTTCTCCCATCACTCCCAGATGGGACTCTCTAGTTGCAGGATAGCAAGCTCAGGGGTCCCACTAATTCTACATTATGGTGAGTATGTAATAATAATAGAAATAAAGTTCACAATAAATATAATGATCTTGAATTATCCTGACAACCACCCCAACCCTAATCCATAGAAAAATTGTCTTCCATGAAATCGGTCCCTGGTGCCAAAAACGTTGGGTACCACTGCTTTATAGTGTCAATGGTCTATGTACTTAAGTGTGCTTTTATAGTTGCCGGTTATGGTTTCATTTCCATATTTTGTGCTCTCTTAAGGACCTCTTATAAGGCAGTTCTTGTGGTAATAAATTCCCTTCTCATTTGCTTGTTTGAAAAGGTCCACCTAGAATTACATTCTCATTAAAATTAGTTTTTAGTCATAGGCATAAAAAGAATAGATATAAAAAATTAAAGAACTCCAAACCACCAGACTTTCCCTATTAGAAGTCTTTCAGATGGAAGGAAAATAATAGCAGATAGAAATATGGCATTTCAGAAAGGAATGAAGAGCATTGAAAATAGTAACTATTTAGCTAAATATGTAAAATCTCTTCCTATTATGCAAAATACCTTTAAGAGATATTTTACTGCTTAAACAAATAATAACAATATAGTATGGGTTTTATTGCATATGTAAAGTTGGAATGTATAACAAAAATAGCAACAATAGCCAAAGGATTGGTAGGAGAGAAATAAAAATATAATATTTAAAGAGTATTTTACTTTGCACAAAGTGGCACATTACCTAAATACAGACTATAAGTTAAAGACATGTATTGTAAAGCAAGCACTTGAATAACAAAAAAAAGAATGATAGCTAATAGTCCAACAAATGAGATAACTGAAATCATTAAAAAATTCCATGTTCCCCAAAAGGTAGCAAAAACCAAATAAATAAAAAGATCAATTCAGACAAATAGAAAATAAGTAGCAAAATTATAGATTTAAACTGAACGATTTTAATAATAACAATAAATTTAAAAGTCTAAATGCCTTAGTAAGATACAGAGATTGTCAGATTGAATTTTAAAAATAAGGCATAAGTATATGCTCTTTTTAAATATACAGACACAAATAAGTTACAGGTAAAATGATTGAAAAGACATTCAACTGATAACACTAATATAGAGAGAGCTACAATATCTGTGTTAGTTAAAAACAATGAGCTTTACTTACAAAGAAAATGACCACAAAGAAAATCATTTTATAATAATAAAGGAATCAATTTATCAAGAGAACACGAAAGTCTTAAACATTTATGTAACTAATGAGAGAGCTTCAAAATACATGAAGTAAAAACAGATGACACTGCAAGGAGAAACAGAAAAATTCAGAATTATACAAAGAGATTTCAGTACTCTCCTCTCAAAAATTGGTAGAGCAAATACATTGAAAGTGTATGAAATTATACAAAATAAAAGAGTTGATATATTTGACATTTGTGGAAAACTATACTCCAAAACAGCAAAAAAAAAAAAAAAAAAAAAGAGAAAAAGAAAGAAAAGAAAAAAAAAACTCCTTTCAAGTAAACATGGAACATTATTCAAAATAGAGCATATTTGAGGACACAAAATAATCCTCGGGCCGGGCAAGGTGGCTCACACCTGTAATCCCGCCACTTTGGGAGGCCCAGGAGGGCAGATCACAAGGTCAGGAGTTCGAGACCAGCCTGACCAATATGGTGAAACCCTGTCTCTACTAAAAATACAAAAATTAGTTGGGTACAATGGCGCACACCTGTTATCCCAGCTACTCTGGAGGCTGAGGCAGGAGAATTGCTTGAACCTGGGAGGCAGAGGTTGCAGTGAGCCCAGATCGCGCCACTGCACTCCAGCCTGGTGACAGAGTGAGACTCTTTCTCAAATAATAATAATAATAATCCTCAATGAACTTAAAAAAATAGAAAGTATATTTCTTGACTCTAATATAGTAAAATTAGAAATCAGTAACAGAGAGATCTCTGGAAAATCCCTAAAGATTTTTTAACATATGATACATATCTAAATAATAACTCAAAGAAAAAATCAAAACGAAAATTAGGAAGTATTTTTTACTAAGTAAAATTAAGACAGTATATAATAAAATTTTGTGCTGCTAAAGCACCAATTTTGCAAGGGGATGATTTATGGTATCAAAACACCTATATTAGAAAAAAATGAATTATGTCAAATCAGTGACCACACCTTCTCTCTCAAAAATGAAGGGGAGGAGGAAACAAGCTTCCCAAATTTTAGTAGAAGAAAAGAAGTACTAAAGATAAGAGTAAAGATTTTAACAAAATAGAAAACAGAATTTTTTTTTTAATTATTGAAACCAAATGCTCATTTTTTGAAAATATCAATATAATCAATAAACTTCTAGTCATTTTGATTGATAAGAAAAAAAGAAAATACACCAATATCAGGAATAAAAGGAGATATAACTACAGATTCTACAAATATTAAAAGAATAATAATGAAATATTGTTGAAAACGTAAGCCAATAAATCTAACAATTTAGATAAAATGAGCACACTCTTGAACCACAGAAACAATCAACCCTTCTGCAAAAGAAACATAAACCAAAAATAAAAGAGTTCTGTATCTATTAATAAAATTAAATTTGTAGTTACAATCCTTCTCACAAAGAACCTTCTAGACCCCATTGACTTCATTTGGTTTCACATCTACCAAACAATTACAAAAGAAATAATACCCAGCTTTTTGACATATTCTTGTTGGCCGCATGTATGTCTTCTTTTGAGAAGCATCTATTCGTGTCCTTTGCCCACTTTTTAGTGGGGTTGTTTTCTTCTTGTAAATTCATTTAAATTCCACACAGGTGCTGGATATTAGACCTTTGCCAGATGCATAGTTTGCAAAAATTTTCTCCATTCTCTGGGTTGTCTGTTTACTCTACTGATAGTTTATTTTGCTGTGCAGAAGCCCTTTAGTTTAATTAGATCCCATTTGTCAACGTTTGCTTTTCTGCAATTGCTTTCAGCATCTTTGTCATGAAATATTTGCCCATGCCTATGTCCTGAATGGTATTGCCTAGGTTGTCTTCCAGGGTTTTTATAGTTTCGGATTTTACATTTAAGTCTTTAATTCACCTTGAGTTAATTTTTGTATATGGTGTAAGGAAGGGGTCCAGTTTCAATATTCTGCATATGGCTAGCCAGTTATCCCAGCAACATGTATTGAATATGGAATCCTTTCCCCATTGCTTGTTTTTGTCAGCTTTGTTGAAAATCAGATGGTTGTAGGTGTGTGGGCTTACTTCTGGGTTCTCTCTTCTGTCCTATTGGTCTATGTCTCTGCTCTTGTACCAGTACCATGCTGTTTGGGCTACTGTAGCCCTGTAGCATAATTTGAAGTTGGGTAGCTTGATCCTTCCAGCTTTGTTTTTTGCTTAGGATTACCTTGGATATGCAGGTTCTTTTTTTGGTTCCATATGAATTTTAAAATAGTTTTTTCCTAGTTCTGTGAAAAAATGTCAATGGTAGTTTAATGGGAATAGCACTGAATCTTTAAATTGCTTTGAGGAGTATGACCATTTTAACAATATTGATTCTTCCCATCCATGAGCATGGAATGCTTTCCATTTGTTTGTGGCATCTCTGATTTATTTGAGCAGTGGTTTGCAGTTCTCCTTGTGGAGAATTTTCACTTCCCTTGCTAGTTGTATATCTAGGTATTTTATACTTTTTGTGGCAATTATGAAAGGGAGTTCATTCATCATGATTTAGCTCTTGGCTTGACTGTTGTTGGTGTATAAGAATGCTAGCTGATCATTAGAGAAATGCAAATCAAAACCACAATGAGCTACCATCTCACTCCAGTCAGAATGGCTATTATTAAAATGTCAAAAAATAACAGATGCAGGTGAAGTTGTGGAGAAAAAGGCATGCTTATATACTGTTGGTGGGAGTGTAAATTAGTTCAATCATTGCGGAAGATTGTGTGTCGATTCCTCAAAGACCTAATGACAGAAATACCATTCAACCCAACAATCCCACATCCCCAAAGGAATATAAATAATTCTATTATAAAGACACATGCACACATATGTTCATTGCCACACTATTTACAAAAGCAAAGACATGCAATTAACCCAAATGCCCACCATTGACAGACTGGATAAAGAAAATGTGGTACATATACACCATGGAATACTATCCAGCCATTAAAAAAAACAAGATCCTGTCTTTTGCAGGGACATTGATAGAGCCGGAGGCCGTTACCCTTAACAAACTAATACAGGAACAGAAAACCAAGGACTGCATGTTCACACTCATAAGTGGGAGATAAATGAAGAGAACACATGGACACATAGAGGGAAACAACACACACTGGGGCCTACCAGAAGGTGTAGGGATGGAGAAGGGAGCGGACCAGAAAAAACAACTAATGGATACTAAGCTTAAGAACTGGGTGATTAAATAATCTGTACAATAAACCCCCATGACACGTTTACGTACATAACAAACCTACACAACCTGCACCCATACCCTTGAACTTAAAATAAAAGTTAGAAAAAAAGAAAGACATAATACCAATTCTACATAAACTCTTCCAGAAATTTAAAGAAAAAGGAACATTTCTCAACTAATTTTGTGAAGCTATTATTACTCTTATTCTAAATAAGACAGACATTAAAAGAAATTCATAGACCAATACATCTCATTAGCATAGATATAAAAGTTCTAACCACAATGTCAGCAAATCATGTCCAACATATGTGAGACTGAAGAAATACCATGACCAAATGGGGTTTATCCAAAAAATGCAAGACTGGTTTAACATTTGAAAAACAAACAGTGTAATTAGCAAACTAAAAGAGTGAAAATAAATAATCATCTCAAAAAATAGCGAAAACACATTTGACAAAATCTACTTTTATAAGAACACTTAGTAGAAGAAAATTTCCTTATGATAAAGATTGCTAATAAAACCTGCAGCTAACATCATACTTAATAGTGAAAGATTGAATGTTTTCCTTCTAAAATTGGGAATACAGCAAAGGTTGTTCATTCTCACCACTTCTATTCAACATTGTATTAGATGTTCTAGTACTACAATAAGGAAACAAAAAGAAATAGAAGGCATCCAGATAGAAAAGAAAAATATGAAACTCCTTTATCTTATAGAGGACATGATGATGCATATAAAATCTGGTGGGATGTACAATAAAGCTATTTGACCTAACAAATATATCTATTACGTTTGCAAGATACAATAACAATACAGGGAAATTAATTGTACTTCTATATGCTACCAATAAACAATTGAAAATTGATACCATAATATTCACAATTGCATTAAAAATATGAAATGTTTGGGGATAAAACTGATAAAGATGCGAAAAACTTCTGCACTGACAGGAATAAAGCATTGCTGAGGAAAAATTACAGAAGACCTAAGTAAATTAAAAGTCATACTGTGTACTTGAATTTGAATGTTCCATGTTATTAAGATATCTATTATTTCCAAATTGATCTATAGATTAAATGTAATCTCTATCAAAATATATTTTTAAAAATTTATTTGGAAAGTTAAATGATATAGAATATTGAAAGCAACTTTGAAAAGAAGAACAATATTTAAGAGCTAGCATATCAAGACTTACTTTATTAATCAAGGGAGTGTGATATTAGTATAAAGATTGACATATGGAACATTGGAGCAGAAAAAAATAATAATTCAGGAAAAGACCCAGATATCTATGCAAAACTAATTTTCAAGAAAAATTCCAGGCTATTTAGTAGACAAAGATCAGTCTTTTCAACATACAGTGTGAGAAAAAATTGATATCCATGTTCAAGAAAGCAAATACATATCTCAAATCACACACAAAAACTAACTTAAAATGGATCATAGACAAAATTGCAAAGCAACACTATAAAACTGTAGTAACACAGGAGACAATCTTTTTGACCTTGAATTAGTCAAATATTTCTGGGATATGATACCAAAAACAAAGTTTATTTAAAAAGTTGGACTTTATAATGTTTTAAAAAATTTCTATGAAATTTACTCTTAAGAAAATGAAAAAAAAAAAAAAAACAACAAGCCAGAGACTGGAAGAAAATATTTGTAAATCATAAGTCTAATGAAATACTTTTATCTGGAATATAAAAAGGACTCAAACTTAATAATAAGAACCCTCTCCCCACACACACAAGGGGTGAAAGATTTGAATAACTACCTCAGAGAAATGTAAACTTAAGCTGGCTCTGGGTCCCCACCCAGATATCATGGAAACTGGTGGGAGGTGATTGGATCATGGGGGTAGATTTCCCTTTTGCTGTTCTCGTTACAGTGAGTGAGTTCTCAGGAAACCTTGTTGTTTAAAAGCATGTATTTCCCCTTCCACTTTCTGCTGCTCCACCACGTGAAGATTGTGACTCTTTTCCCTTCAACTTCTGCTATGATTGTAAGTTTCCTGAGGCCTCCCCAGCCATGCCCTCTGTACAGCCTGTGGAACTGTGAGTCAATTAAACTTCTTTTCTCCATAAATTACCCAGTCTCAGGTATTTCCTTATTTGTGAGAACAGACAAATACATTTACCTATCAGAATAGCTAAAATTGAAAAGAAAAATCATTCAACTGTTAGGAGCAACTGGAACTTTCATACACTTCTAATAGACATTTAACGTGATACAGTCGCTTTGGAAAAGAATTTGGCAATTTTGTTTGTTTGTTTTAAACTTAAACATATACCGACTATATAATTCAACCATTCAACTCCTAGAGGTTACCCAAAAGAAATTAAAGTATACTTACCTATAAAGACTTATACATGAATGTTCATAGTAGCTTTATTTGTATTAGTCAAAATGGGAAACAACCCAAATTTCCTTCACCAGCTGAATAGTTAAACAAACCGTAGCATATGCATACAATGGAATGAATGCTATTCATCAATAAAAAGAAATGGGTTATTGGTACATGCTACAAAAGGTATGACATTCAAAATACTTATGCTTAGTTAAAGAAGATGTCTTAGTCTGTGTTCACGCTGCTGATAAAGACATACCTGAGACTGGGCAATTTACAAAAGAAAGAGGTTTAATAACTTACAGTTCCACATGGCTGGGGAGGCCTCACAATCATGGTGGAAGACAAGGAGAAGCAAGTCACATCTTACATGCTATGATGGTGGCAGGCAAAAAAACAGAGATTGGGCAGGAAATTTCCCCTTATAATAATCCTGTGAGACTTATTCACTATCATGGGAACAGCACAGGAAAGACCTGCCTCCATTATTAAATTACCTCTCATCGGGTCCCTCCCATAACACAGGGGAATTCAAGATGAGACTTGGGTGGAGACACAGCCAAACCAAATCAGAATCCGTACCTCCTACTCCTCAAAAAAGAGCTGATTCTGCATTATTTCGTTTATATAAAATTTAGGAAAATCAAACATATATAGTGACATAAAGCAGATCAATCGTATGTTGAAAGAAGCTGAGAGGAGAAATTGGAGATAAGAATTAGAGAGGAGCATATGTAAACTTTTGTGAGTGGTGGATATATTAACTTTCTTCATTTTAGTTATGATTTTACAGTTGTATACATATACCAAAGTGTATCAAATTCTACACTTTACATATGTGCAGCTTATCATATTCCAATTATACCTCAACAAAGCTGTTCAATGAAGAATACTTTTAAAGCAGTAATGGGGAAGAGGAGCCTAGACTTAGTGGTATACTTAACAGATGTTTTCCCTCCAAAATTGGAAACAAGATTATTTTCTCAAAGTGTAGAGAAAAGGTAGATGGATTTCAGAAGTTCAAAGTAAGCTAAGAAGGTTTAAAACAGTTGTTCTGAAGAGGAGAAGACTAATTGACCAGAAAAACAAAACAGAACAACATCAAAAATTGCCAATTAATGAAATCTTAATTATTCTGGGACACAAAAAATGAATAAAATATAGTCCTAAACTCTCAGAAACATCACAACTCATGGTACACAGGCAGTACTTTCTTCTGTTTAGAAGACTGAACAATTCTGTAATGCCTTTTACAGTGTTCATTTATTTTCAAAGCAATGAGCTTCAAAATACTTTATTAACAAACAGATATAAATGCTACCTTTTTTCCATACTGTATATGAACATTGTGCCATGTCGTGAAATATTCTTTTAATCCAGTCAATTATTTGTGAAGTATACTCACCTAAGGCCCACATATGGGCACTGGAGTTCATTTGGACAGGAGGAAAGAGTTTCTTTGTTGTTGGTGTACTTAATGATTGAGAGGGATTTTCTCAGTGATCAGGGAGCACCTGGTCCATTTGCAGCTTAACAATGTATCAATCCCAGGAGCAGAGGTGGAGCTGTGCTGCTCTCCACCTGGATGTATCCATTGGTTCCCCTCGGCATGGTCACTTCACATTAACCCTGCCATCAAACATAGCTCTGTACTGCTGGGCACACAAAGCCCACTGCCAGGACCACCTGGGATCCTGCAAGACAGATGGATTTGGCAAGTAACCTTGAAAGAAAATATTTCCAGATGACTAACATGTAACATCCCAGGGTGCTTCAGAAATTATGTGCAGATAGGATAATAAGAAATTTTATTCTCCATGTTGGAAGAAGGTTCACAGTCCTATGTCCATAATCCTGTAGTCATCTCTTATTTAAATTTAAGTAACCCCCAAAAGTGCTGATCCAAAGATGACTTAAATATTTCTAATGTCTTCATGAGACCTGAAGTAACAGTTCTGACATGGTTTGGCTGTGTCCCCATCCAAATCTCATATTGAATTGTAGCTCCCATAATCCCATGTGTCATGGGAGGGACCCAGTGGAATACAATTGCGTCATGGGGGCGATTACCCCCATGCTGTTCTCCTGATAGTGAGTTCTCACAAGATCTGATGGTTATATAAGGGGCTCTTCCCCATTTGCTCGGCACTTCTCCTTACTTCCACCATGTGAAGAAGGACATGTTTGCTTCCCCTTCTGCCATGATTGTAAGTTTCCTTAGGGTTCCCCAGCCCTGTGGAACTGTGAGTCAGTTGAACCTTTTTGCTTTATAAATTACCCAGTTTCAGGCAGTTCTTTAGATCAGCAGGAAAATGGACTAATACAGTACATTGATATTGCAGACAGTGGGGTGCTGCTGTAAAGATACACAAAAATCTGAAAGCAACTTTGGAAGTGGATAACAGGCAGAGATGGGAACAGTTAGGAAGACTCAGAAGAAGACAGAAAAATGTGGGAAAGTTTGAAACTTCCCAGAGACTTGTTGAATGACTTTGACCAAAATGCTGATAGTGATATGGACAATGAAGTCCCAGTTGAGGCAGTCTCAGATGGAGATGAGGAACCTTTGGGGAAATGGAGGAAATATCACTCTTGTTATTCTTTAGCAAAGAGACTGGCAGCATTTTATCCCTGCCAGGGGCAAAGATCTGTAGAACTTTGAACCTGAGAGCGATGATTTAGGGTATCTGGCAGATGACATTTCTAAGCAGCAAGAAGTTCAAGAGAAAGCAGAGCATAAAAGTTTGGAAAATTTGCAGCCTGATGATGCTAGAGAAAAGAAAATCCTATTTTCTGTAGAAAAATTCAAGCTTGCTGTAGAAATTTGCATAAGTAACAAGGAGCCCAATGTTAAACACAAATACAAAAGGGAAAATGTCTCCAGGGCATATCAGAGACCTTTGTGGAAGCCCCTCCCATCACAGACCTGAGTCCTAGGAGGAAAAAATGGTTACATGGGCCAGGCCCAGGGCCTTGCTGCTTTGTGTATTCTCAGGACTTGATGCCCTGCATCCCAGCTGCGGCTAAAAGGGGTCAATATACAGCTCAGCTCATTGCTTTAGAGTGTGCAAGCCCCAACCCTTGGTGGCTTACATGTGGTACTGGGCCTGCAGGTGCACAGAAGTCAAGAATTGAGGTTTAGGAGCCTCTGCCTAGATTTCAGAGGATGCATAGAAATGCCTGGATGTCCAGGAAGAAGTTTGCTGCAGGGGCAAAGTCCTCATGGAGAATCTCTACTAGGGCAGTGAGGTTGGGAAGTGTGGAATTGAAGCCCCCACACAGAGTCCCCACTGGAGCACTGCTTAGTGGAGCTGTGAGAAGAGTGCCAGCATTCTCCAGTCCCCAGAATGGAAGATCCACCAACAGTTTGCACCATGCACCTGAAAAGACACTCAACACCAGCCCATGAAAGCAGCTGGGAATGTGGCTGTATCCTGCAAAGCCACAGAGGCATAGCTGCCAAAGGCTGTGGAAGCCCACTTCTTGAATTAGTGTGATTTGGATGTGAGACATGGAGTCAAAGGAGATCATTTTGGAACTTTAAGGTTTAATGACTGCCCTGTTGGACTCTGAACTTGCATGGGGCCTATAACTGCTTGGTTTTGGCCAATTTCTCCCATTTGGAATGGGTGTATTTACCCAGTGTCTGTACTCCCACTGTATCTAGGAAGTAAGTAACTGGCTTTTGTTTTTGCAGGCTTATAGGTGGAAGGAACTTGCCTGGTCTCAGATGAGACTTTGGACTTGAGATTTTGAGTTAAGATTTTGGGGGAGTGTTGGAAAGGCATAATTTTGCTTTAAAATGTGAGGACATGAGATTTGGGAGGTGCCTGAGGTGGAATGATATGGAGTAGCTCTGTTCTCACCCAAATCTCATCTTGAATTGTAGTTCCCATAATCCCCAAGTGTCGTGGAAGGGACCCAGTGGGAGATAATTGAATCATGGGGGCAGTTACCCTCATGCTATTCTTGTGATAGTGACTAAGTTCTCATGAGATCTGATGGTTTTATAAAGGTCATTTTCCACCTTGCTCAGCACTTCTCCTTCCTGCCGCCATGTGAAGAAGAATGTGTTTGCTTCCCCTTCTGCCATAATTGTAAGTTTCTTGAGGCCTCCCCAGCCCTATGGAATTGTGAGTCAGTTAAACTCCTTTACTTTGTAAATTACCCAGTCTTGAGCAGTTTTTTATAGTAGCATGAGAACTGACTAATACATGTTTCATTGAGGAAACTCATAATGTATCAGCATTTCTTCTTAGGAATCTACCTTCCTGAAGAGAGCAGGGGCACTATCTTTGGTATCTGTTCAGTCTTTTTTCAGTGCCCTATTCTCTGGAGTCCATTCTTCCTCCTCAGGCCCTGAGTGCTTTCAATCTGCTGCAGGTCCCCAGCATAGCACTGTAAATTCTACTCTCCATTTCTTACATCATCTTCATTTTTTGAAATGGAGTTTGACATGGCAAAAGAGAAGCTTTCCCCTCTCCTTCAGATAGCAAAACAGGAGTGGTGGCTCATGTCTGTAATCCCAGCATTTTGGGAGGCCAAGGTGGGTGGATCACCTGAGGTCAGGAGCTCGAGACCAGCCTGTTCAACATGGCAAAAACCTATCTCTAGCAAAAATACAAAAATTAGCCAGGCATGGTGGTGGGCACCTGTAATCCCAGCTACTCAGGAGGCTGAGGCATGAGAATTGCTTGAACCCAGGAGGTGGAGGTTGCAGTGAGCTGACATCTTGCCACTGCACTCCAGCCTGGGGGATAGAGCAAGCCTCTGTCAAAACAACAACAACAACAACACCAACAAAAAAAAAAAAAAAAAAAAAAAAAAGCAGGCAATCAGGGCTCTGCTTAAAATTTTCCACTAATTCCCCCTTTAAATACAGCGTTAGTCCAAGGTCCTGAACATGGCACTTAAGACCTCCCTCTGCCTGACCACAACCAACCTCATCAACCTACTGTCCCAACAATCTACACAAAAACAACTGCTACTAGTCCCCAAAGGCTCTACAAACATTTTTTTTTTAAAGGAATCAGGTATTCTATATGTGAATCATTTATAATATCATATCTAATTTTAGTGCCTACAAACCAGTCATCCAATAATCTAATGTTAATCGAGGTTTCCTTTACAATAAATCTTGTTCATTATGTAGTAATAACTTTGAGCCCTGGTGCCCCATATTCCAATACTAGGTAGGGAAAATCTTGCTTTTTGTTTTTAATGAGATTTTCACTTCTTTCTTTTTAATGTTTTATATTTTAATCACATAATCTATTTTAAGAAAAGCAATTATAAATATATGCCTTAGAGTAGGAGTAGTTTACATTTCTCATGTATTGTCTTATTTCACTCTTTTAAAACTTTGCAGCTCTTACCATTCCCATTTTACAGATTAAAAACAAAATCCCCAACAGACATTATTAATTGTGAACTGTATATCAGGAACTATATAAGACACAGAGAATATCAAGATGATTCAATACATTTATGTAAATCAATTTACTTCATAGCAGATTCAGGAATAAACTCTGAATACTCTGATGGTAATTATTATTTAACATACAATATACTAGTAGCTTACACATACTTATAAATATGTATGTCTACTCATGTATTAATAACTAAGCATCACAGACGATTATGCAAGGTTTTATACATAGGATATGCTCTATGTTTGTTTATTATTCTTTTACTAAAATAGAGTGAAGTTATCCTTAATAGAGCTACATCTATTCAGTATCAGATTTAAATTGGGGAAACTACAAAAAAGTCTGAGAAGTTCACTTAAGAATTTAATATTATCTGAGAATTCTTATGAGCTTCAGAACACTCATTTTTAGAGAACAAGAGCAGGAAAGGGAATGCTAGAAATAAAGATTAGTGGTGCCATCATCAGACACCCATAGCTGAACAACAGATTTAAGACTCTCATGGCAGGAAGTCATCAAACCATTTTGGAAATTAATCTCCCTTTTCTCATCATTATTGTGGGCCTACATGAGAAACATTGAGTGGTATCCCAGCTCCCCTGAGAAGGTATATGCAGGAAGCCTTGGGGGCGTAATAATATCAGGACTTGGAGTCAGGAGCCGCCAGCTTGTAACTGAAGCTCTCCAAACCTCACTTACCAAACTTGCAAAGTGGAGATAAATTTTAGCTAATTTTCAAGGCAATGGTGAAAATCAAAAGACAAAAGTAAAAGTATAATGCACTGTAGAGTTATTCAGTAAAATCATTTTTTCTTCCTGCTTTGGACACAAAATTTTTAAAAGACTGCTAAAAATTATATTTCTGTAGCTTAAATAGTAATACATTAACTAACTCAATGAATAGTAATCAAGTATTTTCCGATATCTGAAGGAGTTGTTCATGGAACTTTTGAGCAATCCTTGGTTTTTGACGTCTGGGGCAGAAAAGAGAGTTCTATATATGTATGAGACTGTTAGTGTTGCCATAACAAAATAAAACAGACTGCGTGGCTTAAACAACAGACATTTATTCCTCACTGTCCTAGAGGCTAGAAGTCCAAGATCAAGGTCCAGCAGATTGGGTTAGGGTGAGGGCTGTCCTCCTGTCTTAGAGACAGCCACGTATTTGCTGTGTCCTCCACAAAGCCTTTCTTCTGTGTGTATGCAGTTAGAGCTCTAGCGTTCTTCCTCTTCTTGTAAGGACACCAATCCTATTGAACTGGAATCTCACCCTTATTACTTCATCCAACTTTAATTACCTCTTTAAAAAGTCCCTATCTCTAAATATAGTCACATTGGTAGTTCGGGCTTCAGCATATGGAATTTGGGGCACACAATTCAGTCCATAGCTATATGTATCAAAAGGAGAGAGAGAAAAGGTATCTCACAAGAAACTCTAAGACTTGGGATTTGCACAGACCAAAATCTCAATTCCTCTGTTCTTATTTACTCTCAGTGAGACTTGAAAAATCAGTTAGTGTCCCTGAACCTCAGTTTCCACAATTGCAAAACTGGCATTGTGAGAACTATTTTAGAATTTTGTTGTCAAAATTAATAATATGCCACACACAAATTATTTTGCAAGTAATAGGTGCTCAATGACTATAAATTATCTTCTGGAGCACAATTTTATAGGGCATAATCACCTTTTAAAATGTCCATTTCTATGTCATGTGCATTATATTTCACATTTCAGTACTTGATTTTATTCTCAAAGTAGAATAAGGAGGAGTTGAGTTTCTTAATTACAATAAGATGTCTGAGCACATGTCTGGAGCCATAAACTACATTTAAAAGATAAGTTCTATCAGCAAAGGGCAGAAAATTTTACTCTTTGGGTATGTACTCAAAAAAATTATGTTCATTACAACCTAAGATGTTAATTGTGTTCTTCATGGCACAACACTGGTATTTTTGCCAAGTAGCAGATAGCAGAGATGACTTCTATTAACTTGGATGGAGTATTATAGACTTCTTTCCTGTGTTCTTGTCACATCATTTTTTGTTCATTCCCATGGCCATGAAATTGACTAAAATTCTCATGGTCAAGACTGAGTTGTTAATTTTAAAGAACAAAGAGCAGTTGAAATGACTACCCTTCTAAATCCAAAGCTGACATATAGCCTTAAAGTTAACCTTTCATTAATGATTTGAAAGAAAATCTACAAATAGTACAAGGAAAGATAAGCAGGATAGGTGGTGGTAGTAGAAGGGGGCCCCGTGGCTTAAGTAAAGTTAAAAGTGAAAGGCAAAGATGTGGGACATAAAAAAGAAATGATAAAGGTCTTAAATGGTAACCCTCTGTACTTTAGATTATTGAAAGCATTTGTGGTTTTATCTGCAGGCTCACTCCCGCCCTACCTCATTTCAAGATCATCATATAGTTGTTCTGAGTCTATTCGGACAGGTTTATTGTTGTGTTTATTCTGTTCGATCGAAATCATAATAAAATTGACAGCTGTGCTATTACCCTGTCAGTCCACCAGTCAATGTGCAGATCACAGTGAATGCAGATGGACAGAGACAGTTCCTCCCACGGAGAGGGTTGTGGTCCACCCTCCTCCATTAGCCACATTCTAGACCAACACTGCTGTGATTATGGGGTCAGTCCAGGAGTGTATATTAACTCTTCTTGCTTTTATTTTTGCACAATCTCCCCCATTCTTTTCTCTACAAAGAACAGAATAGTCTTTTAAAAACATTGTATTCAATTTTCCAGTAAACACGTTATTTAATGTTGTAACAACTCTAAAATGCACCTTACAGTCAGTATCAAATATACACAACTTTTTGGCTTAAATTTCTATTTATTTAGAATAAAAGCCAAACTTTGGGATCAGAAAGCACCCAATGGTTCTCCTCTTAGCCTCATCACGCACTACCCTCCCTTTTGCTGTCCTGGCCTTAGCCACACTGGGTGTCTCCCTTTCCTCCCTAATGACTCTGCACTGAAAATTCCATGTTTAGAAAGGTCTTTCCCCAAATCTTCCAATGATTTGATTCTTCTAATCATTCCCATCTTAGCTGAAATGCTACCCCTTCAGACAGGCCTTCCCTAACCTCAAGCATTAGGAAAAAAAAACCACACGTGATTGCTACCAAACAAGCGGTGATTTGTTTTGTAGCAATCACAGCACGTGTGTATTTTTTCTACTAATTGAGGTACAGTTCACATACCATAACATTAACCATGTTATGGTACAAAATTCAGCAGTATTTAGTAAATTCACAATGTTCTATAATCACCACCTCTATCAAGTGCCAAAATATTTCCACTGCTCCAAAAGAAAATTCCATTACCAATTAAGCAGTCACTCCCCATTCTCTGCTGTACCAGCCCCTAGCAACCAGAACTCTGCTTTCTGCCTTTATAAATTGATCTGTTCTCAATATTTCATAAAAATTTAATCACACAATATATAAAGTTTTGCCTCTGCCTGCTTTCACTGAGCATAATGTTTCAAGATTCATTCATGCTGTAGCATTTATCAATATTGCATTCTTCTTATGTCCAGATGATATTTAATTATATGGATATAACACATTGTATTTACCCATTCATCTCATGGGCATTTGGTAATGTCTACACTTTTGGATATTGTTAACAGCGTTGCCATGAATATTCATGTACAAGTATTTGTTTGAGTACCTGCTTTGCGTTCTTCATGAACATATTGGAAGAGTGAAATTGTTGGACATAGTGCGCTCTTTTAATTTTTTTTTCTTATTAGAATGTAAGCTTCTAGGCATAGGGGACTTGGCTTTTACTTTCACTATCTGTCACACATAATAGGCATGGACTCAATTAATATTTGTAGAATGAATTAATTAACTTAAAAATTGTTGGTCAGGCATGGTTGCTTATGCCTTTAATCCCAGCACTTTGGGAGGTCAAGGCAGGAGGACGGCTTGAGCCCAGGAGTTCGAGACCAGCCTAGGCAACATGGCAAAACCACATCTCTACAAAAAATACAAAAACATAGCCGGGCACCGTGGCACATGCGTTTAGTCCCAGATACTCAGGAGGCTGAGGTGGGAGGATTACTTGAGCCTGGGAGGTCGAGGTTGCAGTGAGCTGTGATTGCATCACTACACTCCCATCTGGGTGACAGAATGAGACCTTGTCTCAAAAAGGAAAAAAGAAATTCTCTAAAATTGTTCATAGAGCAATTTTCTTGACAAGAGTGACAGTTCTTACTTCCCCTTTAAATTCAGCTATCCCTTCTGATTAAGAAAATCAACTAAGCTGACCAAAGAGCAAGGGACCTCTTTAGGAAGGAACAGGATTAAGTTGCTCTGGAATCATGGAACTAAACTATTATCTTCAATAGTAAAGATGTTCACTTTGCAGCCTTTAACAGAGGTGCATATTCACAGGATATTTTAATTAAAATGACACTTTCCTTAGTCTACATTTAGATTGTACTTTGGTTTTACACTCTTATTTTTTTCTTTTTCTTAAGTAGTTGTTCACAAGTGATTGACAGTGGGAACCCTGCAGACAGCAAGAGAGAAAAGTGGACCTGATCTTTACTCAACATGGAAAAGTGGCTGTGAAAAACAAAAGGAAGCTATATTGTCGAAAGAAAAGAAAGGAAATAGATTGCTTCTGAACTAAATGTGATCTCATTCTATATTCAATAACCTAAACTCTAATCATGATACCAGTGGACAGATCACTGCAATGGGATACAGCTTTCTTATTAAGGGTCTAGGGCCAGCGCCCAGGCTTCTAAGGGCTGAAAATGGAATTCCCTGAAGAGAGCTGCATTGTCACTCTCAATTATTCGGAGAAAAATGCAGATCTGGAAGAAAATGGAGTGCAGTTGCCCTTTAGATATAGCAGTAGGTGAGTGGGGGCCTGATTAATCTTTCCAGACTTTAGGAATATTTGGATTGACTTCTAGGTGACAGAAGCATACTTAAGAGGATTCCTACCTTGCGGATATGAGCTGGCTCGTCTGCTTTGGAGCAGGGGCCAGATTGGGAGACTGACTTTGGCAAAAGTAAAACAGCAGCAATCAGGGCAAAGATGTCCATGAAGGAGCTTGGGCTTGTGGACTTGAGAACAGCTATATTTAGTTCACTCTCTACTTTGGGTTAACATCCATTTTGGTTATATCCAAGTAAGTACTCAGAGTGTGAGTTTGTGTCCTGTTCTTAAATAAAACTGGAAAAATAAGTCAAGTACCTGTGCCCATGCTGATGTGTGCAGCAGAGAACAGGCGCAACCTGAGTGGAGTTACAGAGCAAGCTCTGTAAGCAGCGAATTGTCCCAGCTGGATCCAAGATCTGTAACTTTATGTCGAACTACTGACCAGGGCAATGAGGAGCAGTCAGGATAGCTGTTTGGAATATACAAGCACTGTGAGGGCTCAGTAACACTTGGAAATATTGATAAAAGAACTGCACTGCTGCCTTCAAGCAATTGAAACTCAAACAGAAAAGGAAATACAATCTTATTTTGCAGTCTCTGGTAATTGAAATCTGCAAATTCAGATAATTCAGGAAGAGACAGGCTAGTGGAACTAACCACATCCTCACATTCAGGAACCAATGGATCTTCTAATATGCCTAAGTGGAATAAATGGGTGTGGATTTGAATACCAATACTAAGAATGGTTTCAAATTGTGGCTAAGTCTTTCATTAGCTAGAAGTTGGTGGATAGAATTTCCTCAACCACTAAAAGGAATAATAATGCCTACCTGAAGCAGTTGAGAAAACAAAATAATATAATATATGTTGAGTATTGGGCACATTATATCTTCAATCAATTTCTCTACTCTTGTTCTCTGTACCTCATTTGTCTGTAAAATCTAACCCCTTCATTTTCCCAGCTGGAGAGGGCACAGAAATGAAGCCAGCATAGATGAAAACGAGGAAAGGCAGCAAAAAGGGCATAATGTCTTGCAAATAATCATCTTGTTACCCAAATATTTTATTTCCAGTGACTTCTTACCATTTATTAAGTTTTTTGAAAGCAATTATTTTACACTAAAATCTGCAAGATTCAGTGTTCTTTGTGCCCATATGCATACAAAACTGTGCTAGACCATTGGAATATAATAATCTGTTAAAATAAATCGGCTGTCTTTTCCTCCTACTTAAATCGTACGAAACAAATTAAAACTTTCTAGTGTGTTTTTTTAATGTTTTCCTATGTGCTTGAAAAAATAAGGTACCCGGTTTTCTTATTACATTAGTGTTTAAATAGCAAATATGTATAGAGCTTTTTGTAATTAAATTAAAACAAACCAAAGTCTCCTATGTGAGAATAACTAGTCATACAAGTAATTGATGGACCAGAAAGCAATCTGACTATGCAACTATCAAAACCTAACTGATAGCCTTAAGCCATTTGCATTATTATATACATCTGCAAGGTTGACTGCATTCAGATACCAACTTAGACATCTTGAACAAATATCCACCCTTCTCCATTCTTTGGTATTTTAGCATTGAATTACAAAAGAAAATCCCTTTTATGATAAAGCTGCAATATGGTTTGGCTGTGTCCCCACCCAAATCTCATCTTGAATTGTAGTTCCCATAATCCCCAGATGTCTTGGGAGGGACTTGGTGGAAGGTAACTGAATCATGGAGGCAGTTACACCCATGCTGCTTTTCTCGTGATAGTGAGTGAGTTCTCACGAGATTTGATGGTTTTATTAGGGGCTTTTCCCCCTTTGCTTGGCACTTCTCTTTCCTTCTGCCATGTAAAGAAGGGCATGATTGCTTCCCCTCCCACCATGATTGTAAGTTTCCCAAGGCCTTCCCAGCCATGTGGAATTATGAATCAATTAAACCTCTTTTCTTTAGAAGTTATCCAGTCTCAGGTATGTCCTTATAGCAGCATGAGAATGTACTAATACAGTAAATTGGTACCAAGGGAGTGGGGCACTGCTGTAAGGTTACTCAAACATGTGGAAGTGACTTTGGAACTGGGTAACAAGCAGAAATTGGAACAGTTTGGAGGGCTCAGAAGAAAACAAGAAAATGTGGAAAAGTTTGGAACTTCCTAGGGACTTATTGAATGACTTTGACCAAAGTGCTGATATTGATATGGATAATAAAGTCTAGGCTAAAGTGGTCTCAGATGGAGATGAGGAACTTCTTGGGAACTGGAGCAAAGGTCACTCTTGCTATTCAGAGACTAGTGGCATTTTGCTCCTGCCCTGAGATCTGTGGAACTTTGAACTTGACAGAGATGATTTAGGATAACTGGTAGAATAAATTCTCAGTGGCAAAGTGTTCAAGAGGAAACAGAGCATAAAAGTTTGAAAAGTTTGTAGCCTGGCAATGTGATAGAAAAGAAAAACCCATTTTCTGGGGAGAAATTGAAGCCTACTGCAGAAATTTGCATAAGTAACAAAGAGCCTAATGTTAATCACCAAGACAATGGGGAAAATGTCTCCAGGGCATGTCAGAGACCTTCTGAGCAGTCCCTCGCACCACAGGCCCAGAGGGCTAGGAGGGAAAAATGGTTTCCTGGGCAGGCCCAAGGGCCCCCTTCTGTATGTACCCTAGGGACTTGGTGCCCTGCATCCCAGCCACTCCAGCCATGGTTAAAAGGGGCCAAGGTACAGCTCAGTCTGTGGCTTCAGAGGGTTCAAGCCCCAAGCCTTGGCAGCTTCCATGTGGTGTTCAGCCTGTGGTTGCAGAGAAGTCAAGAATTGAGGTTTCAGAATCTCCGCCTACATTTCAGAGGATATGGAAATGCCTGGGTGTTCAGGCAGAAGTTTGTGGCAGGGACAAAGCCTTCATGGAGAGCCTCTGCTAAGGCAGTGTGGCAGGGAAATGTGGGGTCAGAGCCCACACACAGAGTTCCCACTGGGGCACTACCTAGTGGACCTGTAAATGGAGGGCCACTATCCTTCAGACCCCAGAATGGGAGATCCACTGACAACTTGCACTGTGCACCTAAAGAAGCCATAGGCACTTAATGCCAGCCCACGAAAGCAGCTAGGAGGGGGGCTGTACCCTGCAAAGCCACAGAGACAGAGCTTCCCAATGCCTTGGGAGCCCACCTCTTACATCAGCATTACCTGGATGTGAGACATGGAGTCAAAGGAGAACATTTTGGACCTTTAAAATTTAATGACTGCCCTGTTAAATTTCAGACTTGCATGGGCCCTGTAATCCCTTTGTTTTGGCCAATTTCTCCCATTTGGAATGGGTGAATTTACCCAATGCCTGTACCCCCGTGGTATCTAGGAAGTAACTAACTTTCTTTTGATTTTACAGGCTCATAGGTGAAAGAGACTTGCCTTGTCTCAGATGAGGCCTTGGACTGGACTTTTGGATTAAAGCTGGAATGAGTTAAGACTTTGGGGGACTGTTGGAAAGCCATTATTGTGTTTTGAAAGGTGAGTACACGAGATTTGGGAGGGGAAAAGCGTGGAATGATCTGGTTTGGCTGCATCCCCACCCAAATCTCATCTTGAATCGTAGTTCCCATGATCCCTACTTGTCCAGCAAGGGATCTGGTAGGAAGTAATTGAATTATGGGGGTGCTTACCCCCACGCTCCTGTTTTCATGATCGTGTGTGACTTCTCACAAGATCTCCTGGTTTTATAAGGGGCTTTTCCTCCTTTCCTTGGCACTTCTCTCTCCTGCTACCATGTGAAGAAAGAAGTGTTTGTTTCCATTTCTGCCACAACTGTAAACCCCTTCATGAGGCCTTCCCAGCCATGCAGAACTATGAGTCAATTAAATTTTTTTCATTATAAGTTACCCAGTCTCACTTATGTCCTCACAGTAATGTAAGAAGGGACTGATACAAGCTGTTAAATAAGAAATAAGGAAATAATAATGAAACGAGAAGCCTTAGTAAATCACTTCTATGACAAAACATGGCATAAAAACTTTTCCCCTTCTTTGAATTGAGATAAGATTAACTTGGAGAAAATTTGCATCTTTAGGATATTGAGTCTTCTTTATTATTTGCATTAATGGATGTGAGTTATTTTTGCATTTATTTAGATCAGTGTTTCTCAATAGAGTCAAGATATTGCAGTTTGAGTGGGGTGATAACTTTTTGTTAGGGATCCTCCTGAAAATTGTAGGAGTTGTGTCATCTCTTTTCCTGGCATTAAATTAGTGGCAGTTAATATGACAACTTAATTACCTTCTCTATCCCAGTACTTAATGCCCTTCAAATAACTTTGGAACATTTTTTCATAGATGTTTTTAGTATATTTTGGTAGGTTGATTTCTGTGTGCATTATAATTCTTGTTGCTATCACAAGTAGAAGTTTGCTGTCCTTTCTTTTGTTCTTTTTTTTCCCTTTTAAATTTTCAATTTTTATGTTTTCTATTTGGGTTTTACTGGCCTATTGAATATTTGATATATAAATTTTATATCTAGAAATCTTATTGAATGTTGTTTTTAATTGTAATTGTTTCTAGATTATTTTGTTTTCTCCAGAGGCAATTAATGTCATCCTTAAGTAAAAGAGTTTTTAATCTATTTCTTTTCCATTTTTTGTTAAGTTTACTTTTCTTATTTCATTGGCTTGGGCTTCTCAATGGTATTGACTAGAAATGGTAATAGGGAGCCTTGGTATTTTGGACTGCAAATAAAATTCTTCTAACTTTTCAACACTTATTACTTAAACCATAGATGAGAATTTTATTTTCTCAAATTATTTTTATACATCCGTTAAAATGAATATATAATTTAAAATGTGATATAGTGAATTATGTCAGTGCATTTTTATAATGTTAAACTATTATTGCATTGCTGGAATATACCTTATTTGGTCATAGTGTGTATATGTTATGTGTCTGTATACCTAAGGCATAACTGGATTTGTTTTTCTGATCATTTATCAATTTCTGTGGCCACCATTTCTTACGTACAACTCCCCTTCTATGTTAAATTCTGGAAATGTTTTAGCCATGATCTCTTCAATTCTTGTTTCTCTTCTATTCTCTGCTGACAGTATTTGATGCCCATTTCAGCCTCTGAAACTATCTTTCCATATCATTTAAGTGGTATTTTAAATTTCTCTCTGTTTGCCTCTCTGCTAGGTTTTGAATGACTTCATCAGTGACATCTATCAATTCACCACTTTTCTCTCCAACTGTGTTTTGGAAGTCTACTGCTTTCCTCTCTATCGTGTATTTTATTTCACTGGCTTTTTCCCCTTGAATTATGTTTTCCTATCCTTGCTTTTGTATTTAATTTTTGCCTGATTTTGTGTCCTTTTTAAAAATGGAAGTTATAACCTATATTTTTGAACACCTCAAACATATTTTATCTGACTAAAATATATTTGTAATCAAATTACTGACTATGTCAGCCTGCTTTAACATTGGATTTTGTGTGTTTTGTAATATTATTCTGCAAACTAGTTTTGAATGGGAATTTGGGGTTTTGTGGGGGGTTTTGTTTAGCTTTTTTTTTTCCTCTCTCTTTCTTCATCATCTCTCTATGTTCATCCCCCCCCCCTATATTTTGGTTTTGTAATCATTTCTATCCATTGTTTAAGTCAGCTGACCCAATATGAATCTGTGTATTGGTGTGTGGATGGATTTCTGGAGATAATGCTCCAAATATCTTAGCCCTGGTGCCAGAGCCCGTTGATTTTCTGGCTCAACAACTGATCCCAAGGCTGTATTATTTTCCTCATACCTCCCTAGGTAATTGGCCCTCAGGAGCTATAGACTTGGGTAATTTGTGTGGAAGTTTTTTTTTTCTCTCAGCATTTTTGAATGAATAGTGAGTAACTCTTGACCACCACAATCTTAATTAGTAGTATAGGCAATAATTATCTATACATTCATCATTGCAATTATTTACCAGAAAGAGAAAGAACAACAACAAAAAGACCCCAAACCAAATGGTGTTACCAATTGTTCAAATAGCTTGTTTTACTTATTGACTATAATATCCATCTGAGCTAATATTATTCCTATTTCCTAAGAATAATAGATTGGAAGGAGAAGAAGGAAAAAGTTAAATATCTTTTCCAAGTGGTCATGACCAAGAAGGGAAAAAGAGTTTGGAACTGGATTTTCTGATTCTTAGGAGGAAATTGAAATAAATAGTTGTAGTGTAAGCTGTTTGTTTGTACTATTGTTTCTTCAGGTTACGTGTCCTTTTTCAGCTGCAGATATGGGAGGCTGTATGATATAGTTTGGCTGTTTCCCCATTCAAATCTCAACCTGAACTGTATCTCCCAGAATTCTCATGTGTTATGGGAGGGATCCAGGAGGAGTTAATTAAATTATGGGGGCTAGTCTTTCTCATACTGCTCTCGTGATAGTGAATAAGTCTCACAAGATCTGATGGGGTTATTAGAGGTTTCTGCTTTTGCTTCCTCCTCATTTTTTCTTGCCACCACCATGTAAGAAGTGCCTTTTGCCTCCCGCCATGATTCTGAGACCTCTCCAGCCATGTGGAACTGTAAGTCCAATTAAATCTCTTTTCTTCCCAGTCTCGGTTATGCCTTTATCAGCAGCATGAAAATGGACTAATACAGTAGATTGGTACCAGTAGAGTGGGGTATTGCTGAAAAGATACCTGAAAATGTGGAAGCGACTTTGGAACTCAGTAACAGGCAGAGTTGGAACAGTTTGGAGGGATCAGAAGAAAACAGGAAAATGTGGGAAAGGTTGGAACCTCCTAGAGATTTGTTGAGTGGCTTTGACAAAAATGCTGATAGTGATAGGAACAATAAGCTCCAGGCTGAGGTGGTCTCAGATGGTGATGAGGAACTTGTTGGAAACTAGAGCAAAGGTGACTCTTGTTATGTTTTAGCAAAGAGACTGATGGAATTTTGCCCCTGCCCTAGAGATTTGTGGAAATTTGAACTTGAGAGAGATGATTTAGGGTATCTGGTGGAAGAAATTTCTTAGCAGGAAAGCATTCAAAATGTGACTTGGGTGCTGTTAAAAAGCGTTTTATTTTAAAAGGGAAACAAAGTGTAAAGGTTCAGAAAATTTGCAGCTTGACAATGCAGTAGAAAAGAAAAACCCATTTTCTGCAAAGAAATTCAAGCTGGCTGAAGAATTTTGCTTAAGCAGCAAGGAGCCTAATGTTAATCCCCAAGACCCTGGGGAAAATGTATCCAGGCCATGTCAGAGACCTTTATGGCAGCCCCCTCCCATCATAGGCCCAGAGGCCCAGGAGGAAAAAGTGGTTTTGTGGGCTGGGCCCAGGGTCCCTGTGTTGTGTTCAGCCAGGGACTTGGTGCCATGTGTCCCAGCCACTCCAGACTTGGCTGAAAGGGGCCAACATATACTTTGGGCTGTGGCTTCAGAGGGTAGAATCCCCAAGCTTTGGCAGCTTCCATCAGGCGTTGAGCCTGTAGATGTGCAGAAGTCAAGAATTAAGATTTGGGAACCTCTGCTTAGATTTCGGAAGATGTATGGAAATGCCTGGAAGCCCAGGCAAAAGTTTGCTGCAGGGGCTGGGTCCTCATTGAGAACATCTGCTAGGGCAGTGCTGAAGGGGAATGTGGGATTGGAGCCCCCACACAGAGTCCCTACTGGGGCACTGCCTAGTGGAGCTGTGACAAGAGGGCCATCATCCTCCAGACCCCAGAGTAGTAGATCCACCGACAGTTTGCACCGTGAGCCTGGAAAAGCCACAGACACTCAATGCCAGCCCATGAAAGCAGCCAGGAGGGAGGTTGAACCCTGCAACGCCACAGGGGTAGAGCTGCCCAAGACCATGGGAACCCACCTTTTGCATTAGCATGACCTGGATATGAGATCTGGAGTCAAAGGAGATCATTTTGGAGCTTTAAAATTTGACTGCCCTGCTGGATTTCAGACTTGTATGGGCCCTGTAACCCCTTCATTTTGGCTAATTTCTCCCATTGGGAATAGCTGTATTTACCCAATACCTGTACCCCCATTGTATCTAGGAAGTAATTAGCTCGCTTTTGATTTTACCGGCTCATAGGTGGAAGGGACTTGCCTTGTCTCAGATAAGACTTTGGACTGTGGACTTTTGGGTTAATGCTGAAATGAGTTAAGACTTTGGGGGACTGTTGGGAAGGCATGATTGGTTTTGAAATGTGAGGACATGAGATTTGGAGGAGCCAAGGGCAGAATGATTAGGTTTGGCTGTGTCCCCATTCAAATCTCAACTTGAATTATATCTCCCAGTAACCCCATGCGTTGTGGGAGGAACCCAAGGGGAGGTAATTAAATAATGGAGGCCAATCTTTCCCTGTGCTATTCTTGTGATAGTGAATAAGTCTCACAAGATCTAATGGGTTTGTCAGGGGTTTCAGCTTTTGCTTCCTCATTTTCTCTTGTCACCGCCATGTAAGAAGTGCCTTCAACCTCCACCATGATTCTGAGGCCTCCCCAACCATGTAGAACTGTAAGTCCAATTAAACCTCTTTTTCTTCCCAGTCACAAGTGTGTCTTTACCAGCAGTGTGAAAACTGATGAATATATTAGTAGTCCATTTTCGTGCTGCTGATAAAGACATACCCGAGCCTGGGCAATTTACAAAAGAAAGAGGTTTAATGGGACTTACAGTTCCATGCGGCTGGCAAAGCCTCACAATCACAGCAGAAGGCAAGGAGGAGCAAGTCCTGTCTTACATGGATGACAGCAGACAAAAAGAAAATGAGGAAGATGCAAAAGCAGAAACCTCTGATAAAACCATCAGATCTTGTGAGACTTATCCACTATCACGAAAACTATATGGGAGAAACTACCCCCATGATTCAGTTATCTCCCACCAAGTCCCTCCCACAACACATGGGAATTATGGGAGTACAGTGCAAGATGAGATTTGGGTGGGGACACAGAGCCAAACCATATAAGAGGTCTAAGTAATTTAGGATCATTTGGGCTGTACAGCTGGCCTTCCCTGTCGGTGGGTTCCTTGTTGTGAATTCAACCAGCCACAGATCAAAAATATTTGAAAAAAAAATGGATGGTTACATCTGTACTGAACATGTACAGATTTTTTTATTGTCATTATTCCTTAAACAATACAATATAGGTACTATTTAAATAGCATTTACATTATATCAGGTATTAAAAGCAATCTAGAGATGCATTAAAGTGTAGCAGAAGATGTGCTTGGATCATATGCAAATATTATTCCGTCTTATATCCATGACTTGAGCATCCATGGATCTTGGTATCTATGGGGGTCCTGGGTCCAATCCCCATGGATACTGAGGAATGACTACAATTAGTTTGTTTAGGGAAAGTTCTTAGATGCTGGGCATGGTGGCTCATGACTGTAATTCCAGCACTTTGGAAGGCCAAGGCTAGCAGATCACTTGAGGCCAGGAGTTCGAGACCAGCCTGGCCAACATGGCAAAACCCCATCTCTACCAAAAATACAAAAATTATCTAGGCGTGGTGGTGCACTCTTATAATCCCAGCTACTTGGGAGGCTGAGGAGGGAGGATCGCTTGAACCCAGGAGGCGAAGGTTTCAGTGAGCTGAGATTGCACCATTGTACTCCAGCCTGGGCAACAAAGCAAGACTCCATCTCAAAAAATAAAAATATAAAAATAAAACATTCTTAAACAATGATGTTTCCCACATCCGATGCCATGGAATGGGCTCAGGGCTTTGAGCCATGGCACTGATATTTAGAATTTTGTACCATTCTGTCTCCTCAGCAAATACACCACTCCTTAGATATCCACAGCATCAAGTTTAACCCAACTCAAACATAGCCTTCTTCTTGTCCAGCAAGAATGAAGGACACTTAGGACTAAGGCCACAGGCAGAGAGGTCACTGTCAGGTGAGGGGATGAGGGCCCTTTCTCCCCTCCATTTCTTCCATTCTTTCTGTTTGATCGCATTACTGTTGAGAAATACTGGTGAGGTGATGCAGGTGAAATCCTAGATCAACTGAATGTCAGGGCCAGGGGACAAACCCTGAGAGACACTGCACACAGTAACTCTGCTATGTGTGGTGCTGTGTGAATAAACCTCCAAGGCTCTCAGAGGATCCACCCTCATCCAAAATTATTTTCTCTAATGACTTCCTCAACATGTATCAGTGCAGACTGCAGAGGCTGGCCTCTGGTTAATTTCCAGAAAATCAGCACATTGGAGAAAAGAAAACCAACTCACTGTTCCCAGAGTGCCTGTGTGTTTTTTTCCTTCCTTCCTCTTCCATTTCAAAGCCCTTTTGCTTTATTCCATGACAGCAGTATGACTTTCTCTCTTGCCTAATAGAGTAAACTTGCATGCCATGAGTGATGCTGAGCCACTCTGATGTTGTTTATGACTTAACTGGTTCATGTCCCCACCCTCCTTCAGGCTACCTCCTTCTAAGAGACACCATCTCCTATTGCTGACCTGCTCAGTTTTCCTGAAGAGACCCAGAGTGCACTGTGGCACAGCATGTCAAAATTAGCTTCTTTTCAGGTCTTTAATCCAACTGCAAGGTTTACAGAATGCAGAATACCCTATGCCCCAACTCCTCAGCTGTAGAGTTGAGAACTTAATGGCAACTCCTCTGCCAAGGGCTGTTTCCACTCAGCATCCAGGTCTGCCCCTGAGACATGGACTTAGGTTTGCCATTTCTGCTGCTTTTACAAAATCCCCCTGACTGAATGAAAGTCTAGCTCAATATATCCCCCTACTTTAGGGTATTTTAAGATAATTCTTGCAGACCTCAGGAAACTGCCTCTGATGAGGGGATTTCAATCATCTATGCAAGAAATTGGTGGAAATGTTTTGAGATAGAGGGATTGCAGCTATATGGTACTTACATTAATTTACATCTTGTTAATAACCTCCTCTAGGTCCACATGTGATAAGGCCATGCATAAACAAGGAGACCGATGAAATGAAGTGTTGATCACACTGCTTAGTCCCTCGCATGAAGCCATGAGCAGCACACAGAAAGTCAGCAAACTATAATCAAGCACTGTCTGTGGCTCTCAAAAGTTACTTGATCCCCACTTTAACTTATTCAGTTGTTAGAATAACTATGAAATACATATTAGCTCCACTGTACAGATGAGAAGATGTGCAGAGTTCTTTAGCAACTTGCAGAAAATCTCAGAGTTATTAACGGTGATGATGTAATGTGAACCCAGATTTTTGAAGGCAGATTCTATACCTGATGTTCTTTTAACTACAGTGCATGTCTCAAAAGGAGGAACTTTAAAGTCAAAAGGTCCTTAGAAGCAATGTGCCTTACACTGATGAAACTGACGATTAGAGGTATGTAATAGTTTTGTTTTCACCCTGAGGTCACATATACAAAGAGCAGCAAGGTCAGGATCAGAGTCCTCATCTCCTCTCATGCCACCTCCAATGCTGCTGCCACTGCCACTGTGTTCCCCTCACTGTGGGGGATGAGACCCTCCTTTAGAGCCACCATTGCCACTTTCAACTTAAACTCCCCCACAGGCTCCTTGCAGCACTCAGGTTACCAACTCCTCTCTGATCTCTGGAACCCAAGAACCACAAAAGCAACTAATCTGAAGTAATGTCTCCGCCTTCTTTTGAAGGGACCAATTTAAGAGGAGCAGCTTGAAGCAAAGAGGTCAGAAGACGGACTACAAGGAACATGCTTTATTGACACATCAAACAGACTGCAGAACCAGGCAGCCTTCTCAGCAAAGAGACAAAGAGAATATTTCTACTAGGAATAGGGATGAGGCAGGGGCCAGCTACACCTGGAAGGCTTTCACCACAGAATACTGCTGCCTGAAGATGTTATAATATACCCTACAAGTGAAGAAGGCCTAGCAGCTGGGTACTCTCCATCTAATCCACGGGAGGCAGGTACCCAGCGTGGACTTTCTGACAGTGACTGTCACCATTATCTCAGGTGGTTTCTGCACTCAGATGAAGGGCTGCCTTTTCAGGTCTTGATTTCCATTGACTCCACTCTGCTTATGCCAGCGGCTCCCATGATCACAATCTAAACTTTCCTCTGAACTCACTAATTAGAACAAACATTTCGTATTCTCAAACTTTTTAATCATCTTCTTCCACCCCACTCAATACCCATGTACATACTCTTAACTATGGCATATTATGTCACCGTTAGGTTCATGAGATCAATAGTATGTCTCATATGGTACTACCTTCAATGTGTGCCAAGAATCCAACAACTCAAATTGTTGAGCTTGAATTTCTGCTGTTCAAACTGACTGGAATTTAACCTGTTTTCTTAGCTTCTTTTTTTGAGAATGAAGATGTTTTTTCTACTGCCTTTCATGAACAGTTCCTCCCCATGCCTGGGTCCTTGCTCCTCTCCCTGAATCCACTCCTCCAGTGTTCTCATCACACTAAATGAAGCCACCAGGTATCCAAGTAGCTCAAAGCAGAATTTTACAGATGCTCTTGAAGTCACCCCCTTCCCTGCACCCCTCCAAATGCAATCTATTATCAAATACTGCAAATCAATTCTGGAAAGCGAGAGAGGCTTGGCCTCCCTTGTCAGACCTAGATCCTGGAAATCTATAGACTTAAGAATAAATGTCTTCCTGCTGGTGGGATATTAAGATGATATAAAATGTGAATGAGCCCTGGGAAGGGAGCCTCTGTATCCCAGAGTCTCATGTGCTGAATCGGAAAGTTAAGCACAGACCAAGTTATCCTCAATAGGCTAAATTTTCTAGGACCTTGGAATATTCTGTATTTATTTCCCCCTTCTTTACATCTGAGCCATTTCTTAAAGGAGTGTTTATTCACTGTTACCTGATCTCTGGTTGGCTTTGAGGCACATTAAGCATAAACATCATGTCTGTCCTTAATAACTGTGGCACATGTGTTGAGCATTTATCATCCAAGGCAGCATGCTACGTGTTTTCCATGTACTAATTCATTCAATCCTCTCACTAAATCTACAAAATTGGCACAATTGGTACTGTCAGTACTCCCATTTTATACATGAAGCAACTGAGACTCACAGAAGTTAAATAACGTGCTCCAAGTCAGAGCTAATAAGTGACATTTCACAGATGAGAACACTGAGCCCAAAGAGGTTAAGTTCAGATGCATGTGGTAAACAGGTGGTCAAATTGATATACTACCTATATCTGTTTGGATCAGATGCCTTTGGAAGGTTAACAAAATTCAGCAAGTCCTGGGTATATTGTGTTCATCTGAGTTGAAATAAATTTTGTCCAGTTCCTCAACAAGAAAACCAGCGTTCTAGCAGAGGAGATAGAATGCATGTGAAGAGAAATACTCTCAAAGCAAGAGCACGTTCTTGACTGGGACAAAAAGCCAAAAATTAGGAACCAAAAAAGTCATTGAAAAAGAGAAGTTAAAATAGGGAGCTCTAGAAAATGCTCATAAACAGAGTGGGGTGCTGACTGCCTCAGTAGAGAAAAGGCTGATAACTGTATCAGGCTAGCCAAACAGGAGAACATTAGGATAGAGCATTGTCACCAAGGATAATTTAGAAAGTATAAGACAAATCAAGCCAGTGGCGTTATCCCAACATTATAAAGGCAAAGTCCATTTTAGAAGCAGCCTAATTCCTGAAACTTACACTTCTTTCCTGAAAGCTGTCACTGTCTTGTTCGTCATGACAAAGAACAATAGAAATCTTTTGTCTTTTAGCCAGATATCAACAGTTTTATTCCATTTCTGTGGACCGTTGCAAAACACCAAGGATGGAGTTCACTGTGGGACAGTGCATGGGATGAACAAAAGAGAATTGAGTGGTTTTATTAGGATGTCAGCAAGCAAGGCAGAAGGGGTGCAAGGCTAGTACAATGGGCGTTGTGTCACTAAGCACAGATGCTCAAGGGTTGGGCCGATCATCATAACTGATTTGGAGCTCACACTATGAGGTGAGAAAGAAATACATTTTTCCCCCTTAGAAATAAGAAGGAATGTGAAAAGAAAACCCATTCTTTGTCCTGTAAGAGATGCGGAAGGAGAGAACAGCAGCATAAATGTGTGCATGAGTAAGAGGGATTCTCACGCTTGGGTGAGAAAAAGCAAATAAAGCCCACGCTTTGATGTTATAAGTAATTTTATCAAGGTCTTATGGTGTGGCTTGCAGCATTTGAAGAATGAGGAGGAAAGGAAAGGCATGTGTCTTGATTGAAGCTTAAAAACTGCCAAAAATTAACTTCGAGAATTCCTGCCCTACTTGATGATGCCTCCGTATTGCAGTTAGCAAAACTATACATGAATTCCACAAGGAGTCTATGGATTGTCATTAAGACATCAGAAATATTTTAATTGTATTCAAAATTATGTGTTTGTGTGAATGCACACATTTTGATAGAGGAGAGAAGTTTGCAGAGATTTCATAAATTTCTTGAAGGAGACTAAGTTCCCAAATATTGAAGAAACACTGTCAGACAGTATTGATTTTTCCTACGTTCCCCTATGTACCTGATTTGGGTTTTCATCACATAGCTCAGGTATCTTTGAAACTGACATTTCTTTCTTTTCTTTTTCTTTCTTTCTTTTTTTTTTTTTTTTTTTTTTTTTTTTTTTTTTTTTTTTTTGAGATGGAGTCTTGCTCTGTCGCCCAGGCTGGAGTGCAATGGCTGGATCTCAGCTCACTGCAACCTTTGCCTCCTGGGTTCAAGCGATTCTCCTGCCTCAGCCTCCCAAGTAGCTGGGACTACAGGTGCATGCCACCATGCCCAGCTAATTTTTTGTATTTTTAGTAGAGATGGGGTTTCACCATGTTAACTAGGATGGTCTCTATCTCCTGACCTCATGATCTGCCCACCTCGGCCTCCCAAAGTGCTGGGATTACAGGTGTGAGCCACTGCACCCGGTCTGAAACTGACATTTCTATTGCAGTGATACATTGGTTACCCTGCAGCTTAAAACTCTTTGGACCAGCAGCACTGGTATAATTTGGGGGCTTGCAGAATAGGGGTACCACCCATGACCGATTGGATGTATTTGAATTGTCTCTCTGACTTCTAATGCTTGCCTGAACCCTCTTTCTCTAGCTGCATCAAATCCTTTGCCTTTAAATAAAGGCCTCACATGAGTGTGCTCTGTGGATTCTGGTGAATTCTTTCAACTATTTGAACTGGGGGAACCTTTGCAGGGTAAAATTCCTGACCCGTGAACTAGAGCAAGTAACTAGCTTTGGCCAATGGGATGTTAGTGGATGTGATTATAGCCAAGTCAAAGGTGCTTGAACTACAGGGATTGACCATTTCAGGATCACTCTCATTGCATAAGGACATGCTAGGAGTCGCCTGATGAAGGATGAGTAATATGACAAGCAAAGTCAGGCCAGATGCCTCAGCAAAGGGCAGCCTAGCTCTGTGGACAGTCAGCCAACCCTGAACATCTAAGTAAGCCCAGTCCAAATCAACAGAGCCTCCTGACCAAACTCAGCTGATCCCAGAAAACTGAGAAAACAATGTCCATTGTTGTATGCCCCTGAGGTTCTAAAGTTGCTTGTTATACAGCATTACTATGGCAATAGACAGAAGGTATAGACAAGTTCTCCACCAGCCAACTAAGGTGTAGGAGAATGTATCAGAGTGTGGCTGCCAATCAAATAAGTACACCAATATTGCTAGAGTACTCTGTAAAATGCCAAATAATTTGAAACCAGCAGTGAGGCTTTTTGCAGACCTCATACATGGGAAACCCAAGGGACACACTTGAGGAAGGTTACTGACATACTTGCACTGTAGTAGCCACATTCATGTACAGTAGCCACTTTCCATCACAATAATGTTTATCAATTTAGTACGTATATATACAGCAATGCATCATTTAATAACAGGCATACATTCTGACAGATGTGTCCTTAGGTGATTTTTGTCACTGATATGGTTTGGATATTTGTCCCACCCAAATCTCATGTTGAGATATAATCCTCAGTGTTGGAGATGGGGCCTGGTGGGAGGTGTGTGGGTCATGTGGGCGAATCCCTCATGGCTTCGTGCTGCCCTCACCATAAGTGAATTCTTGTGAGATCTGATTGTTTAAAAGTGTGTGGCACCTCCCCATTTCTCTCGCTCTTGCTCATACCATGTGACGCACCTGCTTCCCCTTCACCTTCCACCACGACTGTAAGGTTCCTGAACCCCTCTCCAGAAGCCAGGCACATGTTGGTGCTATGCTAGTACAGCCTGCAGGACCATGAGCCAATTAAACCTCTTCTCTTTATAAATTATCCAGTCTCAGGTATTTATTTATAGCAATGCAAGAAAGGCCAAACACAGTCATTGTGTGAACATCATATACTTCCACAGACCTAGATGGTGTAGACTACTACAAACCTGGAATGTAGGGTATAGACTATTGCTCCTAGACTACAAACCTGTACAGAACATTAATATGCTGAATATAGTAGGCGATTGTAACACAATGGCACATTTTGTGTATCTAAACACTTCTTTTTTTTTTGAGATGGAATCTCGCTCTGTCACCCAGGCTGGAGTGCAGTGGCACCATCTCAGCTCACTGCAAGCTCTGCCTCCCAGGTTCACACCATTCTCCTGCCTCAGCCTCCCAAGCAGCTGAAACTACAGGTGCCCGCCACCACATCCGGCTATTTTTTTTTGTATTTTTTAGTAGATACGGGGTTGCACCGTGTTAGCCAGGATGGTCTCAATCTCCTGACCTTGTGATCCGCCCGCCTCGGACTCCCAGAGTGCTGGGATTACAGGCATAAGCCGCCGCACCCAGCCAACACTTCTAAACATAGAAAAGGTACAGTAGAAATATGGTGTCATAATCTTAGGTGACCACCATCTTATATGTGGTCTGTCATTAATTTAAACATTGTTATGGGACAAATGACTGTGTATGTATACATATACATATATATATACACACACACACATACACACAATAGATAATAGATAATAGTACATATACAAAAAAATCTGAATTCAATACTAAAAATAAAATGTAAATTTTCTTCCCACCTAGAATATATGTTTATTTCTTTTGAGGCAGTTCAATATTGCCAGTGTCATGTACATTGCTCTACTGAGGAGCTAGCAGTGCAATTGGCTTCAATTCTAAATGTAACCACACAACTCTTCTACAAACACATTATATACATATGTAAAATTGCCAACAAACCTGCAATGTTAGCCACCATTTGCAGTAAGGCCATCATTGAAAATTCGATCCCCTAGGCAAGACTGATTAAGTGACTTTCTCAAAAAGTCATACAAGTTGAGAGAGAAACTTGGTCTCTAAGTGCCCTATTTGCAAATCCCCATGGCTGAAACAGGCTCCAGGGGGAAGCAAAGCCATTTGTATATTTTCTTCTTTATCTTTTGTAACAGGCATAATGCCATGTCACATTCAAAAAATAAAAATGCCACACTACTGAGAGTTAAAAGTACTCTCTAGTGCCTCTTTGAAGAAAAACCCAGTGGGCAGTCCATGTAAACTCTTTGAAGGAGCCTCTCTCACTGCTGGAGAAAATGCGTCCTTGCTCTTGGCAGGGTAATAACGAGATATCCATCTTGCTGAAAGCCATGCTGGCTTTACATGTATGATTATGTTTAAATGGTCACATATGCATTATCCCCATTCATATAGACACATTTTAAACTATTTGATTCATGTCAAAAAAGACCAGGTTAATTTATCAGGATTGCAATGGTGTGATGTAGTATAAAGGGCACAGGATTTGGACCCAGGTATCACAAGGTTTCTACTCTGACTCAATTACTGGCTTTACGATTTTGGTCAAGATGCTCAATTTTTCTGAGTCTCAGTTTCCTCATCAATAAAGTGGAAAGCATGATATCTATTTGACAAATATTTATTGAGAAGTCATAGTGCTTGTCACCAAGAATATAATGGCTATAAATATAAACACCAACCCTTCCCTCACAGAATCAGCAAGGAAGACAATAGTGTTAGTTACGACTTCTTCCTCAACCCTATATTTAGAATTTAAAATACAGATTCTGAGTGTATCAGTCTGTTTTCACACTGCTATAAAGAACTGCCCAAGACAGGGTAATTTATCAAGGAAAGAGGTTTAATTGACTCCCAGTTTAGCATTGCTGGGGAGGCCTCAGGAAACTTACAATTATGATGGAAGGGGAAGGGGAAGTAAGGCATCTTCTTTACAAGGCAGCACAACGAGAAGTACTGAACAAAGGGGGAAGAGCCAAACTGCCCCCATGATTCAGTTTCCTCTACCTGGTCTCTCCCTTGACACATGGGGATTATGGGGATTATAATTCAAGATGAGATTTGGGTGTGGACACAAAGCCTAACCACATCACCAAGGAAAGAGAAGTCAGTCCCAACAATCAAGGATCTTACTTATAAATCCCTTAAAAAATGAAGACTTCTCTATTTAGTCTCTGGTCTGTAGTGGCCGGAAACTGTGCCTGAATTGCAGGGACCCATGTGACTCATCTAGCTCTCCTTCTAGCTGCCCTCCGAAACCCACCAATTCACAAAGCTTAATGTTCTGCAATGGAAGAATACTCATCGAGAACGGTATGCTCAAACTGGCAGCCAGCTACATGTAGTGGACTATTTCATATTCCCCAGCAACATTCTGATTTCCTTTGTAAGTCCACCACCACCACCACATTTTTGTTTTCTGTCTCTACCTGCCTCCTGGCTATACAAATCAATTTCAGTTTTGTGTTTAAAATGGGAATGAGAACTGAGGACTTTGTAAAAATAGCTTTTTAATATATAGGTGTCCTCAGAGGTTCCTGAGCACATTTCAAAGTAGAAACTTATCAATGATGATAACAACTGACAGAAGCTTTACATTCAGTGGAGGAACTGAGTCTCCCTTGATCTTGCACTGGCCCCCAGTCCAGCGTGAAACAAATGAGGACAGTCACTGAAAGAGTCTACTGAAATTTGTAGATAATATTTCTATCTCTGATGAGAGGTAAACTGTTTAAGTCACTATGTGGGAATATTTGTTTTAAAAACAATTCCCTCTTATTACGAGCACCCTTAGAAAATTCCCAAATGCAACCGGGTATAACCAACATATGATATTTTTTCTTTTTCACCAGAATAGATGAGATTTAATGCCTAGACCAGTGTGCTTACGTAAGGTGGGCCATAGCCCTCATGTCCCTTTTGTAAAAGTAGAGTGTGTATTATTTCTATTAATAAATGCTCTGATAAAGTTATCAGTCACCTCTCTATAACAACTGTGCACATTTTTTTGCCTTCAATAATTAAATTCTGTCTGTTTACCTTTTTTGAGATATATGTCCCATGGATAGATTAGAGATATATTAGAGACAAATCACAAACAAGGTGCAGAGGAAATCTAAGTGGATGTCAGGCACAGGCCACAATTCCTAACCCAATAAAGCAATGGAAAAGAATCAGAACCACCCTTTGCCTGTTGAAACAGGCACCAGCTGGGACCCATGGGGAGTCTGACATCAAATTTCAGGTATAACGTTCTCTCATTCAATCAGCAGTCTCTGAGAAAGTAGTGTCTCTGAAACCCAGGGGTGTTTGCATGACTGGAGAATCAAAGTTTTGGCAGGAAGCTAGGGTAGATGTTGTCAAGGTAGGAGAGGAGAGGATGCCTACCCACTGAAGGGCATTGCATTTTCCAGATGAAAAACTGTGACCAGTTTTTGTCCCTGGGAGTTCTGAAATGTTCATCTCATTCTAATAAAAATAAAAGCATGGTCTAGCTGCCAGGAAAGATGACAGTGTTAATTTGGGGAGAGTTTAAAGTCACTCTCATATTTTTTTTCTGGGGTAGGTAGAGATGAATTTGCCCTTTGCTTAAGTTCCAAAGGAAGAAAGATATTTCATAATTCCAGCTCATTGATATTTCCCCCTCTGCTCTCTGGTCTGAAAAGGAAATTCAATTTGTCATTTCCCTTTCTTGACATACCCATACAAACAGACTGTTACTGTGCGCATTATGCACCTTTCAATAATGAAATAAACTATGACCTCAAACATGAAATAGCACAAGCAGTGAAAACTTAGAATGGAAAGTTTCTGCTAGTGAGAAAATCTGGACCTCATCATCTCTAGAGCAGGCTGTGTTTTTTAAAGTCTAATTTTGAAGCTGAAGTCTGTCATTTATGTTAAAATGCAAAGTGTTAGGGAAGGTGGGGGGCTCCGAATTTATCGTATGTGGGAAGACCACCCTGTTGTTCATTTCCCTGCCGTATGGGAAGGCTATTACAGGCTCTTCTGTGAGGCATTTGAAACCTCTTCAATAGTCTTTCTGAAAGTTCCAAAATTTGTCCCGATTAAATTTTCAGGGCTGGGCGCGGTGGCTCACGCCTGTAATCCCAGCACTTTGGGAGGCCGAGGTGGGTGGATCACGAGGTCAGGAGATCGAGAGCATCCTGGTTAACACAGTGAAACCCCATCTCCACTAAAAGCACAAAAAAATTAGCCAGGCGTGGTGGCAGGCACCTGTATTCCCAGCTACTTGGGAGGCTGAGGCTGGAGAATCGCTTGAACCCAGGAGTCAGAGGTTGTAGTGAGCTGAGATTGCGCCACTGCTCGCCAGTCTGGGCAACATAGCAAGACTCCGTCTCAAAAAAAAAAAAAATATTTCAGATGGGGATGCATACCTGGCAGATGTTTTCTAGGGGACGAGCCTTCACTTCAGCAACCTAGCTTTGGGCATCTTCATGTGCTGCGGCTCTGGGAAGTGGAGATAAGCCAAGGTGAGAGAGGATGCTGTCTTGCCCTCAGGTTTTATAGTCTGGAGAGATGCATTATCAGCTAATGCTTCATTCTTCATCCCATATCAGAAGACAGACAATAAATATCAATAGAGTTCTCATCAAGCTCCTTATGGAGGGTGTTGCAGTAAGGCAAGGGCTCAAGTCTTCCTTGGTTTAGCCACCAAATCCATATGTGGCCATCCGGCATGTAAACTGAAGAAAAGAATGGTCCCTTTCCCAGAGGGCTGTTGTGAGAATTTCATGAGGTAATTCTCATCAAACCCTGGCAGCCTCCCTGCACCACTGCAAGCTTCATCGCATTAGAAAGACACGGCAGCCCTGGTTTATGCCCCTTGATGCCTAGTTTGCTGGTGGCCAAGTTGTGAAGCAGGTGACAGTCTGTCCTGGAGTGACTTGAGTCTCTGACTATGGACCCTAGTCTCCCCACAGATGTGTTCCAAAGTCTAGGCTCACTAAGGGCCATAGAAGGTCTTGTTATAAACTTGAATACAAACTTATTATTCATAAATATGTTACTTTCTTTCTATTTTGATCTAACCCCTCAAGTCCACAACCGTTAAGACTCATGAGATGGAAGGATGGAGATAAAACCATTGAATACCATCAAACCTCCAACATACGTATATAAGAAATAGGGTTTAGGTAAGACAACTAATCAGTCCAAAGAGATTGCCTTAGCTTAACCATTCCATAATGCAGTGAGTCATTCTTTCTTTACTCCTCCATAAAAGGCTCCCATTTTCAGCCTTTTTACAGCGAAATAGAATTTTCTTTCATCAGTTGTTTATTTTGCTCCAACCATGAAGCTACCACAATAGATATAAAGATGAATATGATACGTTCTCTTTCATCAGAAAACATCCTATAAGTGAAGGAAACAAAGATGTAAACAATACAGTGTATCCTAATAATTGGAATTATAATGTGAAATGTCCTAGTTACAACTCTTACCAGCACTGCAGCCTTGGACAAATTAATCTCTTTGGAATTCCATTTTATCACCTGATAAATTAATATAATATATCCCTTTTATGATAAGGTTAGAAATAATAGATATTGTTAAATAGCAACAATAATAATGACACTGTCTGGTGGAATTTAAGAGCTTTCTAAGGAGGTACCTGGGTTGCCAGTCCACGTATCATTTGACCAGCATGTACATAGAACCAGGCACAAGATTATACATAGGTTTTGGTTTTCTGATTTTTTTAAGAAATAAGGTATCTGATTCTTAAAATTACTTAATAAAAATTCCTAACATAAAAGTGCCTGCAAGGAAAGGAATTTTGGTCAGGAATAGATACAAATAAATAGGTTTTGAATATTTTGAAAAAGTAGCTGTCATTTATCATGGAAAAAAATGTCAAGAGTAGAGAAGGCATAGATGTTGAAAATCTCTATTGTTGGGGTATAAGACCTAAAATCAAGACTCAATATGACACGCTGCCTTGATATCTCATGAGATGACCTTACCACAAGTTTTTCTCCTCCCTTTGTTCCCAAGAATAAGATTCCTCCACCAAATAACCTTCTCATTCAAAGGGACTAGGCACACTTTCTGCTTATAACCGAGTAGTTGGTTTCTGTTCCCTGCCAGCCTGTAGAATGATTCAAACAAGCCAATCACATCCTCCCATAGAAAAAAGGGCCACCCCACTCTCTTGATACTACAAGATGTGTCTCTCACAACCCCTGCTTACTCACTGCATTCTCTTTTTTTTTCTTTTATTATTATACTTTAAGTTTTAGGGTACATGTGCACATTGTGCAGGTTAGTTACATATGTATACATGTGCCACGCTGGTGCGCTGCACCCACTAACTCGTCATCTAGCATTAGGTATATCTCCCAATAGGTGCTGGAGAGGATGTGGAGAAATAGGAACACTTTTACACTGTTGGTGGGACTGTAAACTAGTTCAACCATTGTGGAAGTCAGTGTGGCGATTCCTCAGGGATCTAGAACTAGAAATACCATTTGACCCAGCCATCCCACTACTGGGTATATACCCAAAGGACTATAAATCATGCTGCTATAAAGACACATGCACACATATGTTTATTGCGGCACTATTCACAATAGCAAAGACTTGGAACCAACCCAAATGTCCAACAATGATAGACTGGATTAAGAAAATGTGGCACATATACACCATGGAATACTATGCAGCCATAAAAAATGATGAGTTCATGTCCTTTGTAGGGACATGGATGAAATTGGAAATCATCATTCTCAGTAAACTATCGCAAGAACAAAAAACCAAACACCACATATTCTCACTCATAAGTGGGAATTGAACAATGAGATCACATGGACACAGGAAGGGGAACATCACACTCTGGGGACTGTTGTGGGGTGGGGGGAGGGGGGAGGGATAGCATTGGGAGATATACCTAATGCTAGATGACGAGTTAGTGGGTGCATTCTCAATTGTAACCTCCACATGGTCCTCCTCCCTGGGGCCATGGGTAGATGTGACTAATAAACTGCTGTGAGCTTCTCTGTCCAGTGCTGGGTGTCGTGTGTTTGTCCATCTCCATGACTCTTGGGTGGAAATCCTTCCTTATCAACAGGGTGCATGGGAAACAGTTAACACAATTGTTCTCTGATGGCTTTATGTGTGTGCATTTCATATCATTACCTGTCTTCAAAAAGTATTTTTTAATTCATTGTGTGCTTGATTAAAAAGAATACCTTAACATTATTTGGAATAAGTCAGACAAATTGAGAAGTAGAAACCGAGACTTCAAAAATGAACACATGAATGTCCTTTACTGAAATTAAACCTGTTTGACTAAGTGAATCCAAATAAATGCATTTTCAAATATCAGATATATTAATGTGTTGCCAAAAAAAACACTTTTTTCATTAAAATGTTTGAAAATGTTTTCAAATGCCTGGATCAATTACAACTAAAAGAAAATAACATATTTTCAAATTATAAATTATTTCACATAGTATCATGCAAAATTCAGTTTCCGGTTGCTAACTGATCACTCTAAGGAAACAAAAATCTACATTTCTAGACCTGAAGCTTGAGGGTTTTCTTTCCCAAACATAAAGTGGTGGTGGATATATCCTTCTTAGCTTAGCATTCTACTGATCACCAATATCTGATCTAAATGAATGGTTAATCTGAAATTTTCAAGTACAGGTGACTGTGATTATGTTAAGACAATGTCTGTAATATGAAGTGGGGTTCACCTTATAGGTGCTGTTCCTAAACACCTTGTCATTCCTTTAGGTAATCTTTGCTTCAAAGATAATGCCAGATAGAGTCCAGGAGGTGCTAAACCAACCAATTTGACAAAAACAAAGCTAGGAATGAAAATAGAATCTGAAAGTAAGGGGAGTAACACAGCTCTGACTTCATCCCTGACAGTGGCCCTCTATATTGGTAGGAAGGCACCTATCTGACTACATGCAATCATCATATTATGATGACTCTAGGAGAGGCGTACCTCCATTTTGTGCTTAAAATCATTAGAGAAATGCAAATCAAAACCACAGTGAGATAACATCTCACACCAGTCAGAATGGCAATTATTAAAAAGTCAAGAAACAAGAGATGCTGGTGAGGTTGTGGAGAACTAGGAACACTTTTACACTGTTGGTGGGAGTGTAAATTAGTTCAACCATTGTGGAAGACAATGTGACGATTCCTCAAAGACCTAGAACCAGAAATACCATTTGACCCAGCAATCCCATTACTGGGTATACACCCAAAGGAATATAAATCATTCTATTACAAAGATACATGCACATGTATGTTCTTGTAGCACTGTTCACAATAGCAAATACATGGAATCAACCAAAATGCCCATCAATGATAGACTAGATAAAATGTGGTACATATACACCATGGAATACTATGCAGCCATAAAAAGGAATGAGATCACGTCCTTTGCAAGGACATGGATGGAGCTGGAAGCCATTATCTTCAGCAAACTAACGCAGGAACAGAAAACCAAACACCACATGTTCTCACTTATAAGTGGGAGCTGAACAATGAGAGCATGTGGTCACAGAGAGGGGAACAATACACAGTGGGGCCTATCAGGGGGTGGGGGGCAGTGAGAGAGCATTAGGAAAAATAGCTAGTGCATTCTGGCCTTAATACCTAGGTAATGGGTTGAGAGGTGCAGCAAACCACCACAGCACACATTTACCTATGCAACAAACCTGCACACCCTGCATATGTACCCTGGAACTTAAAAATAAAAATTTTTAAAAGTTAAGAATTAGTGGTGGCCGTTACACATTTAACATGGTTTGAGTCAAGCAAAATTGTAGGGGTAAATAGCTTGGGCATCTTCACCAGCTTCTGGTGCAAAACCACGTAATATTTCCTTTCTTTCTTTATTTTAAAAGATCCAAGTCTCAATCCCACCGATTGTCAGAAGACACAGTTTTTCTCTTTAGTTCTCCTCTTCCGATATGTCCAAGGCATCAGTGGGTGTTTTTTCCACTCAAAGAAGGAATCTATACTTAACATTGTCATCACTCCTCTTCCCACTGTTCTGGACAATTCATAGAACCACCTCAAGGGAAGATGGTCTCTAATTGTCATGGTTCATTATCAGAAACATGTTATTCTGACCTTAGATGCTGAGACATTCTAACCTCTGCTGGGAAGCTGTGCTTGCTGCCCTGACGTTTCTCTCTTCTTTTTCTGGAAGTGGGTGGACAAAATTCCTCCCACCTCACTACTATGCCCCAGCAGGGAATGACTTATGACAGAAATAATAAAATTGCCCCCACGATCCACTTGTTGTGGAAGATTATCTTTCGTCAGTGGTGGAGAGGCAATTTGTCTTTATGGGACATGAGACCTTTCTTGAGAATGTCCCTGAAATCTCAGGTTTGTTCATTCCTAATTCAAACACTGGTAGCCCCTTATCTGGAGAATAACTGTCTCATTGGGGCACAGCATTTACACCTGGACTTCGGGTGTTCTAGATGAGAATGTACATAGAGCAGGTCTTTTAATAACACTGTTTTGTTCAACATCACTTCATTATGAAGTCGATGAGAAAAAAATATAGATTCCCCATCTAGGTGGGGCTTGAATGTTCTTCCCATGTCTACATGGGTTTCTACAGGTACTTTTGTTTCCTCCCACACCCCAAAGCTGTGCACCTTAGGTTAATTGGTGTGCTACACTGTCCCAGTCTGAGTGAGTGTGGCTGTGTGTGAGCGTACCTTGCAATGGGATGGCCTCCTGTCCCAGGCTGGTTCATGCCTTTCATCCTGAGTTGCTGGGACAGGCTCCAGCCGCCTGTGACCCTGAAATGAATAATCGTGTAAATAATTATGTTACTTATGTTTATTATTTTTTAAAATGTATATTAGCTTACATTTATTTCAGTGTTTTGAGTCTTTATTTAGAAGTTAAATGATTGATGTTTTGTGGTCAGAAATATACTGTAGAAATTTAACTCTTATTTATATTAATTAGCATAAGCTACAATTGGTTTTGTTACATGTTCTTTCAATTAATATCACAGTTTCTAAGAACCTATTGATGATGTTAAGTGAGGACTTATTGTGCCTCAGAAGGTGGCAGAGTTCTTTCCCTTCCCAGTGAAATCATGAACCAATAAACAAATTCTCATAGGACCTTAGACATGGAAATCAGTTGGCTTCAATTTGAAAGCCCTGACTGTCTAAAACAAGGGGATACTTAATTCAACTTCATGTCTATAAGGGAGGGACATTCATTCTTTAGTGCTCTGCTCATGCCCTCATGCCCAGCTCTCAGTGACAACATCCCAAGTTTATGCAGCCTGCATTGGAGCACCCAAGAAATCTGTCAGCATCTGGAAAGGTCCCCAGAGGAAGCATGGGATGAACTGCTAGAGAAGATGACTGTCCCCAGCAGGACTCAGCACCAGCATCTCTTAATTCCCATATTCCTAAAAGCCATTGACTCAATTCAGAAAGAATGGTCCTCCTCCAATGCTACCTGTCATTTTATCATGAAAACCCACAATCAACTCTTATTCACTTATAGAAATTTGCTAGAACCTTTTAATTCTGTCAACTAAAAACATAACAGTCTTTTAAATATGTTTCACATACAGAAAATGCATTCCAATAAAAGGTATCTTCTTTGCACTCTCTCTACTTTTTGGCTCCAATTAGATTATACACTATTGAAGTCCAGAAAGCCCAACCTTTCATTTTCAGTCTTCTTCTCTGTGGAACCTACTATATTAACTGCATTAACCTGACTGACCTTTGTTAAATATTGATTGAATCAAATTAAGTTGAAGAACAGCCTCTCTCCGTGTGAGATTTTAGAATTAAAAACACAGTGTTTACATGGTGAACTTGGGGGCATATTTCTAGGGACTCAAGCTTCGGTTTGAGAATAGTGAATTTTATTCCCAATGAGATAAGCTACTGAATAGCTTTACTCATTCAGTGCAAGTGAAGGGATGTGAAACACAGGACAGCAATCATCCAATGCTGATCTCTGGGTCAACCAGGTTCCAAAGGTATTGTCACTGCAAACCTTATTCCATTAAGGCTTCGAGATTATTGGGGACCAGGACATCTCCTTGCATAGAGACTATGGCCATATCTTCCTCAGCACGTACAAGACTTAACCTATTATCTATGCCCCCAAATCCATACCCACTCTCCTTTGCCCCACATTATCTCACTCTTGACTGATATTTACTCTAGACTGTCCCCACTCCTCGTCCATCCTACTGTTTCCCTCCATGCTCACATCTCAATACGGGACAACAGTTCAGGGTCTTCCCATTGTCAACAAAATGGTCAGTGTCATGACTTGTAGATCCCCTCCCATAATCAAGGATCATCTACCTTCTCAGTCTCATTTCCATTTTCTTGCCTACATATAAGTCAAATGCAGCTACAGGTCATTCCTGTAATGCAGCAGGTCCCTCACACTGCTCTACATTTCCCTGTGCTGATTCACTGGATAGGATGCCTGCACCTGATTATCCACCAATCACCTGCTTATCTTTACAACCACACAGAAATCACCTTCAAGGGGGCCCCTGTCCTATACTTCCCAGGCAGAAGAGGCACTCGGTTCACAGATTCCCCTCTAGACTCCTCTGCCAGCATGCTTATAGCATGGCCTTACACCTTCAGCAGATATTGCATTTATTGCTTCTCTTTTCCATTTTAGGGAACGGCAAGCTTTCTAAAGTCATCTTCTTAGATGCCCCCAGATTTTCTCTTCAGCTTTAATTCTATCAGTGGCTGCTTGTTGTTTAGATCATATATGCTTTACCAGCCAATGTTCTCCTAATATTGATCTCTGTCATCTATTGATTAGGGAGGGTGAGTCATGGAACCTCTTTGAATTCTGGTTTCTTCACTTCTAAAATGAACTTAATATTATCACTTAAAATATTAGAGTGAAAATAGAAAAAAATAACTTTAATAAGTTGTCTACCACAATTTTTTTATTATTATTATACTTCAAGTGTTAGGGTACATGTGCACAATGTGCAGGTTAGTTACATATGTATACATGTGCCATGTTGGTGTGCTGCACCCATCAACTCATCATTTAGCATTAGGTATATCTCCTAATGCTATCCCTCCCCCCTCCCCCCACCCCACACCAGTCCCCAGAGTGTGATGTTCCCCTTCCTGTGTCCATGTGATCTCATTGTTCAATTCCCACCTATGAGTGAGAATATGTGGTGTTTGGTTTTTTGTTCTTGCGATAGTTTACTGAGAATGATGATATCCAATTTCATCCGTGTCCCTACAAAGGACATGAACTCATCATTTTTTATGGCTGCATAGTATTCCATGGTGTATATGTGCCACATTTTCTTAATCCAGTCTATCATTGTTGGACATTTAGGTTGGTTCCAAGTCTTTGCTATTGTGAATAGTGCCGCAATAAACATACGTGTGCATGTGTCTTTATAGCAGCATGATTTATAGTCCTTTGGGTATATACCCAGTAGTGGGATGGCTGGGTCAAATGGTATTTCTAGTTCTAGATCCCTGAGGAATCGCCACACTGACTTCCACAATGGTTGAACTAGTTTACAGTCCCACCAACAGTGTAAAAGTGTTCCTATTTCTCCACATCCTCTCCAGCACCTGTTGTTTCCTGACTTTTTAATGATTGCCATTCTAACTGGTGTGAGATGGTATCTCATTGTGGTTTTGATTTGCATTTCTTTGATGGCCAGTGCTGGTGAGCATTTTTTCATGTGTTTTTTGGCTGCATAAACGTCTTCTTTTGAGAAGTGTCTGTTCATGTCCTTTGCCCATTTTTTGATGGGGTTGTTTGCTTTTTTCTTGTAAATTTGTTTGAGTTCATTGTAGATTCTGGATATTAGCCCTTTGTCAGATGAGTAGGTTGAGAAAATTTTCTCCCATTTTGTAGGTTGCCTGTTCACTCTGATGGTAGTTTCTTTTGCTGTGCAGAAGCTCTTTAGTTTAATTAGATCCCATTTGTCAATTTTGGCTTTTATTGCCATTGCTTTTGGTGTTTTAGACATGAAGTCCTTGCCCATGCCTATGTCCTGAATGGTAATGCCTAGGTTTTCTTCTAGGGTTTTTATGGTTTTAGGTCTAACGTTTAAGTCTTTAATGCATCTTGAATTGATTTTTGTATAAGGTGTAAGGAAGGGATCCAGTTTCAGCTTTCTACATATAGCTAGCCAGTTTTCCCAGCACCATTTATTAAATAGGGAATCCTTTCCCCAATGCTGGTTTTTCTCAGGTTTGTCAAAGGTCAGATAGTTGTAGATATGCAGCATTATTTCTGAGGGCTCTGTTCTGTTCCATTGATCTATATCTCTGTTTTGGTACCAGTACCATGCTGTTTTGGTTACTGTAGCCTTGTAGTATAGTTTGAAGTCAGGTAGTGTGATGCCTACAGCTTTGTTCTTTTGGCTTAGGATTGACTTGGCGATGCGGGCTCTTTTTTGGTTCCATATGAACTTTAAAGTAGTTTTTTCCAATTATATGAAGAAAGGCATTGGTAGCTTGATGGGGATGGCATTGAATCTGTAAATTACCTTGGGCAGTATGGCCATTTTCACGATATTGATTCTTCCTACACATGAGCATGGAATGTTCTTCCATTTGTTTGTATCCTCTTTCATTTCCTTGAGCAGTGGTTTGTAGTTCTCCTTGAAGAGGTCCTTCACATCCCTTGTAAGTTGGATTCCTAGGTATTTTATTCTCTTTGAAGCAATTGTGAATGGGAGTTCACTCATGATTTGGCTGTTTGTTGTTGGTGTATAAGAATGCTTGTGAGTTTTGTACATTGATTTTGTATCCTGAGACTTTGCTGAAGTTGCTTATCAGCTTCAGGAGATTTTGGGCTGAGACAAATGGGGTTTTCTAGATATACAATCATGTCGTCTGCAAACAGGGACAATTTGACTTCCTCTTTTCCTAATTGAATACCTTTTATTTCCTTCTCCTGCCTAATTGCCCTGGCCAGAACTTCCAACACTATGTTGAATAGGAGTGGTGAGAGAGGGCATCCCTGTCTTGTGCCAGTTTTCAAAGGGAATGCTTCCAGTTGTTGCCCATTCAGTATGATATTAGCTGTGAGTTTGTTGTAGATAGCTCTTATTATTTTGAAATACGTCCCATCAATACCTAATTTATTGAGAGTTTTTAGCATGAAGCATTGTTGAATTTCATCAAAGGCCTTTTCTGCATCTATTGAGATAATCATGTGGTTTTTGTCTTTGGCTCTGTTTCTATGCTGGATTACATTTATTGATTTGCATATATTGAACCAGCCTTGCATCCCAGGGATGAAGCCCACTTGATCATGGTGGATAAGCTTTCTGATGTGCTGCTGGATTTGGTTTGCCAGTATTTTATTGAGGATTTTTGCATCAATGTTCATCAAGGATATTGGTCTAAAATTCTCTTTTTTGGTTGTGTCTCTGCCTGGCTTTGGTATCAGGATGATGCTGGCCTCATAAAATGAGTTAGGGAGGATTCCCTCTTTTTCTATTGATTGGGATAGTTTCAGAAGGAATGGTACCAGTTCCTCCTTGTACCTCTGGTAGGATTCGGCTGTGAATCCATCTGGTCCTGGACTCTTTTTGGTTGGTAAGCTATTGATTATTGCCACAATTTCAGATCCTGTTATTGGTCTATTCAGAGATTCAACTTCTTCCTGGTTTAGTCTTGGGAGAGTGTATGTGTCAAGGAATTTATCCATTTCTTCTAGATTTTCTAGTTTATTTGCGTAGAGGTGTTTGTAGTATTCTCTGATGGTAGTTTGTATTTCTGTGGGATCGGTGGTGATATCCCCTTTATCATTTTTTATTGCGTCTATTGGATTCTTCTCTCTTTTTTTCTTCTTTATTAGTCTTGCTAGCGGTCTATCAATTTTGTTGATCCTTTCAAAAAACCAGCTCCTGGATTCATTAATTTTTTGAAGGGTTTTTTGTGTCTCGATTTCCTTTAGTTCTGCTCTGATTTTAGTTATTTCTTGCCTTCTGCTAGCTTTTGAATGTGTTTGCTCTTGCTTTTCTAGTTCTTTTAATTGTGATGTTAGGGTGTCAATTTTAGATCTTTCCTGCTTTCTCTTGTGGGCATTTAGTGCTATAAATTTCCCTCTACACACTGCTTTGAATGCGTCCCAGAGATTCTGGTATGTTGTGTCTTTGTTCTCATTGGTTTCAAAGAACATCTTTATTTCTGCCTTCATTTCGTTATGTACCCAGTAGTCATTCAGGAGCAGGTTGTTCATTTTCCATGTAGTTGAGCGGTTTTGAGTGAGTTTCTTAATCCTGAGTTCTAGTTTGATTGCACTGTGGTCTGAGAGATAGTTTGTTATAATTTCTGTTCTTTTACATTTGCTGAGGAGAGCTTTACTTCCAAGTATGTGGTCAATTTTGGAATAGCTGTGGTGTGGTGCTGAAAAAAATGTATATTCTGTTGATTTGGGGTGGAGAGTTCTGTAGATGCCTATTAGGTCCACTTGGTGCAGAGCTGAGTTCAATTCCTGGGTATCCTTGTTGACTTTCTGTCTCGTTGATCTGTCTAATGTTGACAGTGGGGTGTTAAAGTCTCCCATTATTAATGTGTGGGAGTCTAAGTCTCTTTGTAGGTCACTCAGGACTTGCTTTATGAATCTGGGTGCTCCTGTATTGGATGCATATCTATTTAGGATAGTTAGCTCTTCTTGTTGAATTGATCCCTTTACCATTATGTAATGGCCTTGTCTCTTTTGATCTTTGTTGGTTTAAAGTCTGTTTTATCAGAGACTAGGATTGCAACCCCTGCCTTTTCTTGTTTTCCATTTGCTTGGTAGATCTTCCTCCATCCTTTTATTTTGAGCCTATGTGTGTCTCTGCACATGAGATGGATTTCCTGAATACAGCACACTGATGGGTCTTGACTCTTTATCCAATTTGCCAGTCTGTGTCTTTTAATTGGAGCATTTAGTCCATTTACATTTAAAGTTAATATTGTTATGTGTGAATTTGATCCTGTCATTATGATGTTAGCTGTTTATTTTGCTCATTAGTTGATGCAGTTTCTTCCTAGTCTTGATGGTCTTTACATTTTGGCATGATTTTGCAGCAGCTGGTACCACTTGTTCCTTTCCATGTTTAGCGCTTCCTTCAGGAGCTCTTTTAGGGCAGGCCTGGTGGTGACAAAATCTCTCAGCATTTGCTTGTCTGTAAAGGATTTTATTTCTCCTTCACTTATGAAGCTTAGTTTGGCTGGATATGAAATTCTGGGTTGAAAATTCTTTTCTTTAAGAATGTTGAATATTGGCCCCCACTTTCTTCTGGCTTGTAGAGTTTCTGCTGAGAGATCCACTGTTAGTCTGATGGGCTTCCCTTTGAGGGTAACCCGACCTTTCTCTCTGGCTGCCCTTAACATTTTTTCCTTCATTTCAACTTTGGTGAATCTGACAATTATGTGTCTTGGAGTTGCTGTTCTCGAGGAGTATCTTTGTGGCATTCTCTGTATTTCCTGAATCTGAATGTTGGCCTGCCTTGTTAGATTAGGGCAGTTCTCCTGGATAATATCCTGAAGAGTGTTTTCCAACTTGGTTCCATTCTGCTCGTCACTTTCAGGTACACGAATCAGAGGTAGATTTGGTCTTTTCACATAGTCCCATATTTCTTGGAGGCTTTGCTCATTTCTTTGTATTCTTTTTTCTCTAAACTTCCCTTCTCGCTTCATTTCATTCATTTCATCTTCCATCGCTGATACCCTTTCTTCCAGTTGATCGCATCGGCTCCTGAGGCTTCTGCATTCTTCACGTAGTTCTCGAGCCTTGGTTTTCAGCTCCATCAGCTCCTTTAAGCACTTCTCTGTATTGGTTATTCTAGTTATACATTCTTCTAAATTTTTTTCAACTTCTTTGCCTTTGGTTTGAATGTCCTCCTGTAGCTCGGAGTAATTTGATTGTCTGAAGCCTTCTTCTCTCAGCTCGTCAAAGTCATTCTCCATCCAGCTTTGTTCTGTTGCTGGTGAGGAACTGCGTTCCTTTGGAGGAGGAGAGGCGCTCTGCTTTTTAGAGTTTCCAGTTTTTCTGCTCTGTTTTTTCCCCATCTTTGTGGTTTTATCTACTTTTGGTCTTTGATGATGGTGATGTACAGATGGGTTTTTGGTGTGGATGTCCTTTCTTTTTGTTAGTTTTCCCTCTAACAGACAGGACCCTCAGCTGCAGGTCTGTTGGAGTACCCGGCTGTGTGAGGTGTCAGTCTGCCCCTGCTAGGGGGTGCCTCCCAGTTAGGCTGCTCGGAAGTCAGGGACCCACTTGAGGAGGCAGTCTGCCCGTTCTCAGATCTCCAGCTCCATGCTGGGAGAACCACTGGTCTCTTCAAAGCTGTCAGACAGGGACATTTAAGTTTGCAGAGGTTACTGCTGTCTTTTTGTTTGTCTGTGCCCTGCCCCCCAGAGGTGGAGCCTACAGAGGCAGGAAGGCCTCCTTGAGCTGTGGTGGGCTCCACCCAGTTGGAGCTTCCCGGCTGCTTTGTTTACCTAAGCAAGCCTGGGCAATGGCAGGCGCCCTTCCCCCAGCCTCGCTGCCGCCTTGCAGTTTGATCTCAGACTGCTGCGCTAGCAACCAGTGAGACTCCGTGGGCGTAGGACCCTCCGAGCCAGGTGCGGGATATAATCTCCTGGTGCGCCGTTTTTTAAGCCCGTTGGAAAAGCGCAGTATTCTGGTGGTAGTGACCCGATTTTCCAGGTGCCGTCTGTCACCCCTTTGTTTGACTAGGAAAGGGACCTCCCTGACCCCTTGCACTTTCCGAGTGAGGCAATGCCTCGCCCTGCTTTGGCTTGCACACGGTGCGCGCACCCACTGACCTGTGCCCACTGTCTGGCGCTCCCTAGTGAGATGAACCTGGTACCTCAGATGGAAATGCAGAAATCACCCGTCTTCTGCGTCACTCACACTGGGAGCTGTAGACCGGAGCTGTTCCTGTTCGGCCATCTTGGCTCCTCGGAACTCATCATTTTTTATGGCTGCATGGTATTCCATGGTGTATATGTGCCACATTTTCTTAATCCAGTCTATCACTGTTGGACATTTGGGTTGGTTCCAAGTCTTTGCTATTGTGAATAGTGCCACGATAAACATATGTGTGCATGTGTCTTTATAGCAGCATGGTGGACAAAGGATATGAACAGACACTTCTCAAAAGAAGACATTTATACAGCCAAAAAACACATGAAAAAATGCTCATCATCACTGGCCATCAGAGAAATGCAAATCCAAACCACAATGAGATACCATCTCACACCAGTTAGAATGGAGATCATTAAAAAGTCAGGAAACAACAGGTGCTGGAGAGGATGTGGAAAAATAGGAACACTTTTACACAGTTGGTGGGACTGTAAACTAGTTCAACCATTGTGGAAGTCAGTGTGGCGATTCCTCAGGGATCTAGATCTAGAAATACCATTTGACCCAGCCATCCCATTACTGGGTATATACCACAATGTTTTGTGATTGTAAACGCTCAACATACCATTAGGTTATTTAACAAATATTCAGTTTAGGCCAAGCAATGCAAAATATTAAGAAAAATCAGACCCAACCTGTGACCTCATTGAGTGTACAACTAACTGGAAGAGATAGACAATAGTTACATTATTACAGCTGCACACACACACACACACACACACACACACACACAATTGTAAGAGAAATACCATCTTTCTTAGAAGAGGAACTTTGTGTTACAGAAATTATAATAAGGGTCATCCCTGACCCTAGTGTAGGGTCAGGAAAGGCTTCCTCAGGAAACTGATGGCTGAAGGATAAATAAAACACAGCTGAAACGAATAGAACATTCTCCTTTTTTTCTGTTCTGATTCCCACTTCTTAGGAAGCCAAAGAGGCACACTTGTGCACACACACATACACAGGCGCACACACACACACACAGACACTCCTTATGCCCAGTCCTCTACACCAGCTTTGTCTGATAGAACTTCCTGTAGTGACAGAAATGTTCTATATCTGCACTGACCAACACAGTAACCACTAACTCTTTGTGGCTACTGTGTTCTTAAAATGCAGCTGATGAGACTTCAGAACTGAAATTTTTATTTTATTTATTTTAGTTAAGTGTAAACATAAAGAGCCACACGCATCTGTAGGCTACCACACTGGACAGTGAAGTTCTAGACTATTTCCTTTCCAAATCTCAGACACTGCTTGATTCATGATGGGTACTAACACACACTAACTCCAGGCGGTTTTGCGGAAACAGGATGTTAGAAAGTCATCTTGGCACCTTTTATTCAGAGTGAAAGTGACATACACTGACTCAAATCAACTCTAACTGATTCATTTGTCTGGGACAAGTTGCCACACCAGAGCACGAACTCACCCTCAAGACTTCTCACAAAGAATAACAAATATGCCATCATGTTTTCCATTAAATGAGCACTAAAAACTAACTAGTTCTTCCCTTTTCCTCCTATGTCACTATACACAGGAATTCACTCAGTTAACATTCGATGATGATTTCCCATGTACAAGGCTCTAGGGTAGACATTGATAAAGAAAATGAAGAAGATGTCTCTGTCCTCAAAGAGCTTTAACATTTGGAGGTACAAGGATGAGCAATTAAATCAGAGCTTGGGTGGGGCCAGTTGGGAGGACTCACTGGGGATGGCTACACGAAATGAGATACAGAAGACGAAATAGCCCCTTCCAGTCACTGACAGGGATTGCGGTGTAGGCCCCCATTAGTTTTGAGGGTTTGCCTATGGGATTGGGCCCCACCTCTTGTGGTGGTCTCTGGTCCCATTATGCACCATGGGTTGCCTTCCTGCATTTTCCTCCCTCCACCACTCTTACAAAAGTACTTCATGGCTCACCTTCCAAATACACCACTGACCTGCAAACCTGTGTCTTAGGACATGCTTCTAAGGGAACCTAATAAAGAGTAAAGAAATGGTAATCACTAAACATGCAATTTCATGGGCTGACAAATTTTCAAGCAGTAGCAACATATGATTGTTTTTATTTCTTTTTTCTCTCATTTACCATGTTAGGACATTTAAAGAACAGCAAAGTATCATCAATAAACAAAAGGATTTCTTTGAAGGACATATAATTGTTCAGCCTTCCAAAATGCACAAAAAAGGAAAAGATGAAAATTACACACTATTAGTAGAGGAGAAAATAATTTTCAAGAGGACAGTTATCTGTTTTTGCCCTTGTCTTTCCCATCTCACTGTGGAACAATAAGAACTCTGTCACAGATGGGCATATGTCCCTTGGACTGTGCTTAGGAAGTATTGAAATAGAAAAACAAAGAGGGATAGAATGCAATGGAGGAAATAATGAAAATAATAGGGCAGCCTATGGAGGTCTTTTGACTTGAAAGGAAATGAGTGCTCAAAGGGCTATCAGCTTTGATGATTACAGGGTGAGACGTGTGCTGGGTGTGCAGTATATATTCTCTCTTTGGTGTATCAGAAGAAGGCCTGGATTGGGGTGGTGGTGATAGAACTCGAGAGAAGAGGGTAAGTCCAAGAGATGTTTCAGAAGCAAAAGGCTGATCTACTGCAGAGAGAAAAGCAGAAGGATGAGTCCAGGATGATTCCCAAGTCTCTGTTTTGGGTGAGGGATGGATAATAGTGTTGTTGTACAGAATCTATTATACAAGAGAAGAAAGTTTAGAAGAGAAGATAAGGAATGTCTGGGGAACAATCAGATTGAAATATTTTGTTCTGTAGGAAACTTGTGTGTGTGGCGGGGAGTTGGGGGGTGTGTTTTTGCAGAGAGAAAGAGACAGATTGGAGCCTTCTCTAGAACATTGGTCCTCAGTTCTTATCCAGAAGCCATTTTGCCCCTCTAGGGACATTTGGGAATATGTGGAGATGTTTCCATTGGAGAGGGTGCTACTGGTATCTAGTAGGACATGGGTAGAAGCCAAGAATGCGTAACAAATAATTCTACAGTGTCAAATGTCAACAGTGCAGAGAGTGAGAAAGTTTGTTCTACCATTAACATGAGACAAATGAAAGAACACCAATTGTGAGATAAGACAGACCTGGATTGGAATCTCAGCTCTACCACTTACTTGTGGTGTGACCTGGAGAGTGAGATTTGTTTTCCTGGAGACCCAGTTTCTATATATGGGAAAATGATGATGACACCATTGCTGCAAATGCTACATGAAATCATGAACAAGAAATTTATAGATGCATATAGGTGCTTATAAAATGCTTCATTTCTTTTCCTTATATTTAAAACCCATAAATGAGCAATAAAGTAGGTCCTAGACGTATTAACAGCTTCTATTTCCCATAATGTGACATGGTTATTTCTTTATCTATGTGTAAGTTTTTCCAGCAGAGAAAAACTATAGTAAAGCTGAGGTGGAATTCCTCCGAATCCCCATGCCTTCCCTTGAATACGTTTCCCTCTCATGGTGTCAACTGTCAATGCATTCATTGCATTATACGTTTATTTCCCAAAGTCTAGACAATAAGCTCCTGGAGGCTAGAGACTATATTGTATTCAACTTGTATCTTCATCGCTTTTCCTAATGCCTGGGATGTGGTAGATATCCAGTAAACATTTATTAATGAATAATTAGCTATGAATAGTTTAATTTCCTGTAAATAATTACCAAAAGCACTCCACCTTGTTCTCTCCTTGAACCCATCCCATTTTATCATCTTAATTTCATACCTCAATTTTATACCTTATAAATTAACTAGTGTTTTGTGTTTTATTTGATATTTCAAATTTATCAAACTTGGCTTTATTTGCTTTCTCCACTAAGCTTGTTTCCTAAGTGAATTATCAGTTTATACTCATGAAAGGGCCTCTTCCCCATCATTTAGAGTTTCTTCTTTTTTTTTTTTTTTTGAGATGGGAGTCCTGCTCTATTGCCCAGGCTGGAGTGCAGTGGCTGTGGCATGATCTCAGCTTACTGCAGCCTCCACCTCCCAGGTTCAAGCAATTCTCCTGCCTCAGCCTCCCGAGTAGCTTGGATTACAGGTGCCCACCACCATGCCTGGCTAAATTTGTAATTTTTTTTTTTAGTAGAGACAGGGTTCCATCACGTTGGCCAAGCTGGTCTCGAACTCCTGACCTCAGGTGATATGTCCACTTTGGCCTCCCAAAGTTCTGGGAATACAAGCATGACCCACTGCGCCCAGCCTCCTATCATTTATATTTGAAACTTTATAGTAATCTTTGACTCCTTCCTTTTGATGGCAGCTGTATCTAAACAGCCACTGAGGTCCATGAGGAAACTGTTCATGCAGTCTCATCAAGGTAAACAATGCCCCTTCCATTCTCACTGGCTTCACTACAGCACATGAGCTTAAACATGAGCTCCAGCACAACGGTACTAGTCTCTATAAAAGATGATGCCTATGTCCTGAACGGTAATGCCTAGGTTTTCTTATAGGGTTGTTATGGTTTTAGGTCTAACATTTAAGTCTTTAATCCATCTTGAATTAATTTTTGTATAAGGTGTAAGGAAGGGATCCAGTTTCAGCTTTCTACATATGGCTAGCCAGTTTTCCCAGCACCATTTATTAAATATTTATTAAATATTAAATATTATTATTTAATAAATGCTTTCCCCATTGCTTGTTTTTTCCGGTTTGTCAAAGATCAGATAGTTGTAGATACGCAGCATCATTTCTGAGGGCTCTGTTCTGTTCCATTGGTCTATATTTCTCTTTTGGTACCAGTACCATGCTGTTTTGGTTACTGTAGCCTTGTAGTATAGTTTGAAGTCAGGTAGCATGATGCCTCCCACTTTGTTATTTTGGCTTAGGATTGACTTGGTGATGCGAGCTCTTTTTTGTTCCATATGAACTTGAAAGTAGTTTTTTCCAACTCTGTGAAGAAAGTCATTGGTAGCTTGATGGGGATGGCATTGAATCTATAAATTACCTTGGGCAGTATGGCCATTTTCACGATATTGATTATTTCTACCCATGAACATGAAGTGTTCTTCCATTTGTTTGTATCCTATTTTATTTCCTTGAGCAGTGGTTTGTAGTTCTCCTTGAAGAGGTCCTTCACGTCTCTTGTAAGTTGGATTCCTAGGTATTTTATTCTCTTTGAAGCAATGATTTGGCTCTCTGTTTGTCTGTTGTTGGCGTATAAGAATGCTTGTGATTTTTGTACATTGATTTTGTATCCTGAGATTCTGCTGAAGTTGCCTACCAGCTTAAGGAGATTTTGGGCTGAGATGATGGGGTTTTCTAGATATACAATCATGTCATCTGCAAACAGGGACAATTTGACTTCCTCTTTTCCTAATTGAATACCCTTTATTTCCTTCTCCTGCCTGATTGCCCTGGCCAGAACTTCCAACACTATGTTGAATAGGAGTGGTGAGAGAGGGCATCCCTGTCTTGTGCCAGTTTTCAAAGGGAATGTTTCCAGTTTTTGCCCATTCAGTATGATATTGGCTGTGGGTCTGTCATAGATAGCTCTTATTATTTTGAGATACATCCCATCAATACCTAATTTATTGAGAGTTTTAACATGAAGCATTGTTGAATTTTGTCAAAGGCCTTTTCTGCATCTATTGAGATAATCATGTGGTTTTTGTCATTGGTTCTGTTTATATGCATAGGCATGGGCAAGGACTTCATGTCTAAAACACCAAAAGCAATGGCAACAAAAGCCAAAATTGACAAATGGGATCTAATTAAACTAAAGAGCTTCTGCACAGCAAAAGAAACTACCATCAGAGTGAACAGGCAACCTACAGAATGGGAGAAAATTTTTGCAATCTACTCATCTGACAAAGGGCTAATACCCAGAATCTACAATGAACTCAAACAAATTTACAAGAAAAAATCAAACAATCCCATCAAAAAGTGGGCGAAGGATATGAACAGACACTTCTCAAAAGAAGACATTTATGCAGCCAAGACACATGAAAAAATGCTCATCATCACTGACCATCAGAGAAATGCAAATCAAAACCACAAAGAGATACCATCTCACACCAGTTAGAATGGCGATCATTAAAATATCAGGAAACAACAGGTGCTGGAGAGGATGTGGAGAAATAGGAACACTTTTACACTGTTGGTGGGACGGTAAACTCGTTCAACCATTGTGTAAGTCAGTGTGGCGATTCCTCAGGGATCTAGAACTAGAAATACCATTTGACCCAACCATCCCATTACTGGGTTTATACCCAAAGGATTATAAAACATGCTGCTATAAAGACACATGCACACATGTTTATCGCAGCACTATTCACAATAGCAAAGACTTGGAACCAACCCAAATGTCCAACAGTGATAGACTGGATTAAGAAAATGTGGCACATATACACCATGGAATACTATGCAGCCATAAAAATGATGAGTTCATGTCCTTTGTAGGGACATGGATGAAGCTGGAAACCATTATTCTCAGCAAACTATCGCAAGGACTAAAAACCAAACACCGCATGTTCTCACTCATAGGTGGGAACTGAACAGTGAGAACACATGGACACAGGAAGGGGAACATCACACACTGGGGCCTGTTGTGGGGTGGGGGGAGGGGGGAGGGATAGCATTAGGAGATATACCTAATGTTAAATAACGAGTTAATGGGTGCAGCACACCAACATGGCACATGTATACATATGTAACAAACCTGCACATTGTACACATGTACCCTAAAACTTAAAGTATAATTAGAAAAAAAAAAAAAGAGATGATGACTTCTGGGAAAAGTTTGGTCTCAGCATCCTGCCCAAGACCCTTCATGATCTGTCTGTCCCCATCTTAACATTTTCAACCCCCAATGTGCAAACAATCTGCTCTCCAAACAATCTGGTCTGCAAACAATCTGGTCACTCTCACATTTACTATCCTTTGATTCTGTTTCTCTGTATCTACACTTGGAGAATGATGGTCTGGTCAACAATTACCAGTGATGACCATCCCTATATGGTTATGTTACTTGACCCTTAAGCAGCATTTGAAAGACTGACCATTTCTTCCTATTTGAAACATTTTTCTTGATGATAGACACTCTTGCTTTTTTCCTTTACTTCATTCGCTGAAGGTTCTCAGTCTCCACTGGCAGTGTAGCCTCCTCCTTTCAGCTTCTACAAGGCGGTGGGCACAGAGTTCAGTCCAGTCCCCCAGCCCCTTTTATTACTAACTCTCTTGAGATTACTTCATTCACTCCCTTGGGTTTAGGGGTTATCTATTTGTGAGAGTCAGTGTGGTAGAAACTGCTGATTATCTACTCAGTAGCCAATCCCTCTTTTATTTATATCAGAATCCTGATTTTATTAAGGATGGCAATATATCCAGATTTTTCTGTTTCACAGCATCCCTTACAGATAGGCACAACCTATAGGACATAAAATAATAAAAAGTAGAAGTTGTTGGATTGAGTCTCTAGGGAAGCCTTTTATCATTTCTTACACTTCTTCCTGGGCGTAACTCCTACCTGAAACACAGGTAAGAGGGCTAGAGCTCCAGAAATCATCTTTGACCACGAAGCCAGCTTCAGTGACGAAACCACTTAATATGATTTATAGAGAAGAAAGATAAAATGAGCTTTAGTCCTTGGTAATACTGAACCCCTAAGTCAGCTCAAGACTCCCTACCTTTGGGTATTAATGTGAGATAACAGTAAACTTCCCTTTTGTTTAAATGATTGTTATTTTCATCTCTGTTGCTATCAGCCCATGACAATTTCTAAGTGATACACACACCCAGTTTTAGATCTACATTTCTAAACTCCATCTAGAATTATCAACTTTTACATAAAAGTCCTAATAAATGTCCAATATACCTCTCAGAAAAAAATATAGATAAAATGAAACTCATGTTTTCTTCTGGAAGACATGCTCCATCTGCAGTCTTCCCCATATGGGTAAATTATTCCATCTACCCTACCTATCTGGATAACTGCTCCAGGGTTATTCTTGATTCTTTGTTTTTGTTCATCTTCTTCAAATCATTTCTACCCACAAGCCATCACAATCATTCCTTGTCCAAGCTCATCCCAATATGTATTGATTTCTCTTTGTTGTCACTTGCACAGTCTAGTCCAAGTCATCATTCTCTTTTCCTGACTGCCATGACAGCCTCTTCACTGATGTCCTTGTTTCCACCTCCCCTTGTTGAACATCCAATCTCTATGCAGCAGCTAGAGCAATTTTAACACAGACATGCTTTTATACAATCCCTTTGCTGAAAACCCTTCAGGGACCTTCTACTGTAGTCAGAACCACACAGCCCGAACTGAGATGCCTCCTGCTAGTATATACCTTAAACCTCATCCCAAACCACTCGCCCTCTGCTATGCCTCCACTCCACTGCCTTTATTGTGAAAGCTAGGGCGCTAACATTCTTTCTCAGCATGTGTCATTTATTGGCGCTAGCCATGCCCCCTTCCAGGAATGCTTCTTCCCCAATCTGTGTGTGCACCCAGCTCCTACTTTATAATCAGAACTAAGCTGGAAAGTTATCTTCTCCATGAAGCCTCCCTGATCACTTATTCAAAACCGCCGCCAATCACTTCCTATCTCATCACCTTATTGTAATTCTCTGCACACCATTCATTATTTTATATCGTTTTTCCTTTTTATTTATTTTAGCTTATTTAATATCTTTCTTTCCCACATTAAATGTAAGCTCCCTCAGAGCAGGGACTTTGTCTCTCCCATTTGCTTGTGTATCCCTAGCTCCTAGAACAGGGATAGCAAACTAATGGTACCACACAAAATGTTTTTTGAGTAAAGGAATGAGAAAATGTATCTCTGATTACTTCAGCCCTTCTACCTTTAAAATCCCTCACTCTCCTTTCTGTATCAGTAAATGGGCTCATCTCTCAAGTCCTATCTCTCCAGCTAGATTTCAGGCCTTTTGAGGAGAATATCCTGCACTTATTTGTACCACCAAGTATCTCATGCAGTATCAAAAGTCAGCACCCAAGTCAGCAATGCAGGGGAACAGACCTCACCATTGTCCAGAACCCAACCTGCCTCATTTTCTCCTGTTTCTCTGATCTTCATGTGCTGGTCGGTGTGCCTAGACTGACCTCTCTTATTCCACATAAAATCCTCCTGCTTGTACTTCAAAACTCATTTTAAATATCAGCAAAACCTCTCCTCACCACTTCAGCAAAGCAATCACTGACTTTTTGATTCAAATGGCATTTTCACATTCCCATAATATTGCACATATCACAGTGTTTGCAGGGCTGCCTTTTTAATATGTCTGCTTACTTCTCTAATGAGGGGCAGTCCACGTCTCACCCACTTCTAGAACCCCAATTTTTGGAACAATTTCTGTTACATATTCTCCATACATTTTTGTTGTTGAATGTTGTTGAACGCTTATGTTCTGCTTTATGTTCCTTTTATAGGTTTTCATTGAAATAGTGATATTTTTTCTAGACTTAACATATTTTCAATGATTCTCTTAAGAGTCCCTCATTTCTCCAAGGCTATTTTTCTGATATCCATTTTCCTGAAAACTTATGTTTGGACCATTGCATAAGAAGCTCCATTTATAGGTTAAGGGTGGTGAGTAAGAAGAAGGAAACACAGGTACTCTTTATTTATTTTTTTTTTTTTTGCTTTAGCCATAAAACTCAGAATGAATTATGGTATGAGTCTATGAGGTACAGAACAGAAAATGAACCATGTTTTCTGCGGGCACTGACTTCATCACTTCCAGCAGGTAGACGCTGAGCTGGGGCTTGCTATCTCTGGCTGAAAGGATGTCTGTGCCTCCAGGGAGAGATACACTTGCCAAGCCACTCTGCCACATCTCAGAGCCTAAAAACCCCCACATTTAGGACTAGAAGAAGACATCAAAGTCAACTTTCTAACCATCTCACAAACAGCTCCAGAAGGGAGAGAGGATGACGCTAAAGTCAATTCAAACTAAAGGGGTTTTTTTTGTTTTTGTTTTGTTTTGTTTTGAGACACAGTCTTGCTCTGTCACCCAGGCTGGAGTGCAGTGGCGTGATCTCGGCTCACTGCAACCTCTGCCTCCCGGATTCAAGTGATTCTCCTATCTCAGGCTCCAGAGTAGCTGGGATTACAGGCATGAGACACCACGCCCAGCTAATTTTTGTATTTTTAGTAGAGACAGGGTTTTACCACGTTGGGCAGGCTGGTCTCGAACTCCTGACCTCAGGTGATCTGTCAACCTTGGACTCCCAAAGTGCTGGGATTACAAGTGCGAGCCACCACTCCCAGCCCACACTAAAGTTATTGAGTACGATTAACCTATGGAGCTGATGAGTGAGGCAATCTGAAGCAGAACTCACCACACCATGTCCTCCAGTGCCTGTCCTGCTGCACCATGCTACCTACTCAGGGAAAAAGAAAAGTTTGCCACCTTCCACCCAGGACTTTCTGATAACCATGAGTCACATGATTCTCTGCACTCCCCTTATCAAAAACCTAATTGAGTTTCTTTTTTTGCAGTGTATTATTACTCCTTCAATTCTCTTTCTTCTACGCTAGACTGCAAGTTCCTAAGAATAGAAACCATATGTGTTATTTTCTCTATTTCTAGCTCCTAACACACTGTCTGCTTCATGCAGATACTCAATAACTATTTGTTGAATTAAGGTAGGAAGGGTATATAAGCTTTTTGTTCTCTCTCACTCTTACTCTTTCTCACTTTTCCTCTCTTTAATAGAGAACTCAAACATCCTACTTAAATACCTACCTAGAAAAATGTGTGACAGCCTGTGCATCCTAAGGACGGTCCAAATCTCACCAGTTAGAACCTTATATTTAACTAGGACCAAATCTCACCAGTTAGAACCTTATATTTAACTAGAACCAAATCTCACCAGCTAGAACCTTATATTTAACTAGGACCAAATCTCACCAGTTAGAACCTTATATTTAACTAAGACCAAATCTCACCAGCTAGAACCTTATATTTAACTAGAACCAAATCTCACCAGCTAGAACCTTATATTTAACTAGGAGCAAATCTCACCAGCTAGAACCTTATATTTAACTAGGACCAAATCTCACCAGCTAGAACCTTATATTTAACTAGGACCAAATCTCACCAGCTAGAACCTTATATTTAACTGGGACCAAATCTCACCAGCTAGAACCTTATATTTAACTAGGACCAAATCTCACCAGTTAGTATCTTATATTTAACTAGGACCTCCACTATTATTACCTATTTACAGTTTGCCTGAGGACCTAGGAACACAGAGATACTGTTTGAAAATCAGAAGTTATCTGAGAACTTATCTAACCTTTGTGGTAACTTTTCTTCAAATGTGCCCAAAGCCCCTGGCTCCTGCCACATGATTTTTCTTTTCTCCTTTTTATGGGAAAAAAGGATATTATTAAATCAAGATCACTATTCTTAAGCAGAGTAAGTTCATAGTGCCCTTTCTCATAAAATATCTGCATATCTGAATTAAGGAAAAATGAATATCGCTCTAATTCTTTAGTGAGTTCATTTGTTTGATACACATATTTCTATATTGTTTCAGGAGAAACATGTCTCTTTGTTTTATAAATAAGCAAAAAGAAATAACTGAACATGAATTTTTCATGACCTGACAATTCCTACCCTGAGATGATATGGGAGGTAGAATTATTACCCCTAAAGCTTTCTATGTCCTAATCCCTAGAATCTGTGGATAATATTACCTTACAAGGCAAAAAGGGTTTTGTACATGTGATTAACGTTAAGAGATTTGAGATGGAGAGAATATACTGGATTCTTCAGGTCGGCATAATCCAATCACATGAATCTTTAAAAGCTAAGACCCTTTCCTGGATGTGGTCAGAGGAAGATGTAACTAAGGATAATGGTCAGAGAAATGCAATGCTGCTGACTTTAAAGATGGAGAAAAGGTCATGAACCAGGGAATGTAGGTGGCTTCCAGAAGCTGGAAAAGCAAAACAATGTATTTTCCCTGAAAGCCTCCAGAAAGGCATATAGTCCTGCTGACACCGGGATTTTAGCCCAGTGAGATTTATATCAGAGTGGGAGATACCTAAAGAACTATTAGGTAATATACTTGTTTCATTTTAAACTATTAAGTTCGTGGTAATTTGTTACAGCAGTAAATAGAAAACAAGAGAGTAATGAAAAGAGCCAACAGAGCTCTTGTCGGTGCAGGGAGGTTAGGGCAGCCTGATTCAGTGTGTAGCTCCTTGGCTGTTAGGCCAGGGATAAGCCCTCTGTTCAGCCCCTGATCACCAAGCTTGGGCCAAGAACCACTATAGTGTGTCAAGATGCTCATCTCCAGACAAAAGGCTGAATGTGGGGGGTGTGGGGGGATCTGATTAAGTATAATATCATGGAACAGGGAGTCCCCTTACCTCTCTGTCTCTACTACCTAGTTTAGTGCCAGTAGCCATAGAGAAATGCTTCAGTGAATGAGAGCTATGTGAACACTATAGTTGACCTGTAATAAGTGGAATATAAAACTCTTGGACTGATCTTTTTGGGGTGATGTATTCAAAAATTGTGTTTTTTAAAAAATAAGAAAAGTATTAAAAAAAAAAGTCCTTCGCACTAGTTTAACTTATTTTAGAAGTCAATGAATTGAAACTTCGAGAAGTTAGGAGATTTGCTTGGGGCCATCTAGCAAACTGGGGAACAAATGTCACAATACAATCCCCTGAGCCCTTGACCACTGCTGCCTGTATTGTATCAACCCGCAGTAAAACTGCCAAATCCATTAAAGAGGTAGACCAACTTTTATAGCCTGGAAAATATTTAGAACATAAGCTAGTAATTTCAACACAACAGTCTATGTAATAAACACTGTATGTGATGTTGGCTTGCAAACATTTTAGACACATTCATGGGTGGGCAATCCATGCTGTGTCATCCCATTGTCCACTCCCCATAAGAACAGGGTCCTTTTGTAGGGAGGGGACAACTATAACCATACATGAGTAGCAAACCCATACACAATCACAACATAATATCTTGGAAAAGTAGGGTACTGAAATTCAGTTGATATTATATGGATGTTATAAAGAACAAAGGCTTGAAATTTGGAAGAAGCAACATTGCAATCTAGACATGGGAACATTAAGAGAGTCATAGCCCGGAACTTGGCCTCTTGGACCCTGAGTTTGCTCATTACAATACAGGGATAATAGTGCATGCTTTGCAAAGTGGTCAATTAGAAGGATGTATTCATTCATTAAATCATCAAATAATATTAGATAAATGCACAGAATGTCATACAATCAGGGGTCAATTTTTTAAAAATGTTTCTCGCCTTTCCCCAGCTCTTTATAAATTTTTCCCTAACATATGAAATGAAAGCTTGATAATAAAAAAAAAAAGCTTGTTGTATGAAAAATGGTTTGTATATGATCTGTGTAAATTGCAATGATCAGTTGCCCCAACTCCAAGGAGATGGGCTGGATGGAGGCTTGCACAAGGTCTTAGCCAGCTCCAAACATTCTGTCTCACCTGCAACGTTTTCCAGGGCTGGTTTACTGGGGGCTTCACTTCCTTTCCTGAAAAAAAAAAAAAAAAATCCTGTTCCTCATGATTGTGGACTCACAGCTCCATCTCATGGATATCCTTGGACTTCCTTTCTAATTTCTTTTCCATACTAGAAAGTTCAACATATTAAATACTATCTCTCAGCACAGAGGATACAAAAACCACAAACTTCCTTTCTGACTTTAAGAAGAAAATGCCTCGTTGGAGAAATGTACACATCCAAAACTAACTGAAATCTAAGGAAAATCCTAGCGTATCTGCCTGACAAGCTTCCAGGAAAGTGCTTCCAGTCAAGGCGGAGGGCATGGCCGGAAGAAGGCCTCATGGAGGAGGTGGCAGATCATGATAATAACAGGCATTATGCATTGAGCACTGCTCTGGGCTGGCCTTCTAGATGCTTTTGTGCATTTACTCTCATAATCCTCATAAAAACACTGTGAGCATGTAGGGAAAGCCGACCTTCGAATCTAGGTGGCCTTGCTCCCAAATTCACTCTGTTACGAATGCTGGTTACTACTAGCTGAATAATAGTTTGCATTTCAAATTAAAGATTAAAAGTGCCAGAGACAGGCTAAAATCCAAATTCCTTAACTACAAATTCTCTGATTCCTATAAAGGAAACAACTTTCACTCAACAGAACCTTGTCCAATGAACAGGATTTTTAAGGCAGCAGCCTTTGAATGAGCGGGGCAGTTGGTGTCTGCATGGGTGGGTTTTCCAGGGAAGGAAGTGATGTGGGCTAAGTACAGCTGTGGGAGAAAGGGCGACTGAGAGAAAGGGGAACTGTCGGGAAAAGGGTGGTTGTGCCTCCAGATCTCATGGAGAGACAAGCAAAGGGGAGTGGGTGGCATGTTTTGCAGAAGGGTGAATCTCAAACTACACAGGGAATGAAAGAATGCTGGACACTGGAGAGAGGGGTGGAAGAGTGGCTCTACATTTACTGAGTTCTGTGACCTAAGACAAGTCACAGGTTTTTTGTTTGTTTGTTTATTTTTGAGATGGAGTCTCATCCTTTCACCCAAGCTGGAGTGCAGTGGCATGATCTCGGCTCACTGCAACCTCTGTCTCCTGGATTCAAGTGATTCTCCTGCCTCAGCCTCCCCAGTAGCTGGGACTACAGGTGCGTGCCACCACGCTAGCTAATTTTTGTATTTTTTTTTTTAGTAGAGATGGGGTTTCACCATGTTGGCCGGGCTGGTTTCTAACTCCCGACCTCAGGTGATCACCTGCCTCGGCCTCCCAAAGTGCTGGGATTACAGGCGTGAGCCACCGCGCCCGGCCCTAGGACAAGTCACATTTTTGAACTGGGCATTGTGCCGCCAATCTCAGATGACAACTTTTTGATGTAGGGACTATTTTGGCGTGTCCCACACACAGCATCAAGGGAGGGGGGTACAAGAAGAAGCAGAGTGAGACCAGAGTGGAGTGGGAGCCAAAACAGGTGGGCGTCTGTGCAGAAAGGTAAGAGTTTTAATCTGAATGTCATAAAAAGCCAGGGTAGGGTTTGGGGCAGGGGAGTGACATGGTAGGATGAATGTTTTCTAAAGGATTTCACATAGGTCAATGGGCAGGAATGTCACAAATACCGTGAAGTGGGGGGAAAACCAGCTACTAAAGATCTCACACTGCATTCCATTTATACAAAGTAGAAAAGTGGGCAAAACTCTCCTGTGCTGTGAGAGGTCAGGCAATGGTTGATGTTAAGAGGGGCTGTGTCTGGCGGGGAGTAGGAGGAAGCCTGAGGATGGTGGGACAGGGTCTGATTCTTCATCTGGAGCTGGTTACTGGGGGTGCTCAAGTTGTAAAAGTTTATCAAGCCGTATGCTTATTGTATGCACACTTCTCTGCATGCATGCTTTATGCTAGTAAAAATTTTCAAGGGAAATATTCCAGTAGATCCTGTGTGGGTAAGGGACAGCAGAGGAATGAGACCAGTTAAGAGGAAAACTCAGCCATCCCGGTGAGAGACAATGGGGGCTGGGACTAGGATAACCGAGTGAAGGTGGCAAGAAGTTGTCAAATTCATTCTCCATATCTGTGTCATCATCATCTACTCAAAGCCACTATTATCTCTCCTCCCAGCCTGTCCTTCAACCTCCATGCCTTCCCCCTCCATAACCCAGCCCCTTCTGCAGCCACTGACCCTCTGAGTAGAGAATGCTCTATGCTCTTACCCATATAAGCAGGGCCAGTAGCTCCAGGCTCTCCTTACTCTCCTTCCCTCTGTTGCTGCAGCCACCCTGGATTTCGTGAGAATAAGTTTATAAAGAAGTTACAATAAACTAAGGTTAATGTACTATTGAAGGAAGAAACAAAACTATAAATTTAGTGTGGCCTAAGTGTACAGTGTTTCTAGAGTCTACAGTAGTGTACAAGCATGTCCTAGGCCTTTGCATTCACTTGCTTCACACCCAGAGCAATTCCAAGTCCTGCCAGCTCCAGACACGGTAGATGCCTGTAGGCTACATCATATAGCCTAGGTGTGTAGTAGGTTATACTCTCTAGGTTTGCATAAGTATACTGACACTATAATGTTCTTACAACAAAATCACTTAAGGACACGTTTTGCTGAGCATATTCTCATTGTTAAGTGATGTATGACTGTATAGGTAACAATATTTAACCTTCCCAGCTGGGAGTGCTTTGATATCTTTTATTCTCATTTTAATCCACTCCTTTTGGTGCCATGACATCCTAGTCTGTTGCATTAAAAGCAGTGTTTTCAAACTCACTAAAACATATTAGACACTGATGTCTTTCTGCTCATAATTTGAAACATCCGGCTGAACTCAATGCCCATATGCTTTATGAACCTACCCATCAGCAGGAGAGATTGAAAACAGCCTGCCAAGTGCTCCCTCGCTACCCCACTCCCACTTTCAGAATAAATTGCTTCAGCCATTCAGAGTTTTGACATATTTATAAGGTAGCGGAGAAACACTCAATGTTATCCAGCCTCTATTCTATTTAAGCATATTTTTTTCTCCAACAATGACTTTTCACTAATTTTAACATGAATACAACGAGGAGAAACATTGCATAAGCACTGATTCTACAGGACTCTATGCATGTACTGGGGCAGTTTCTTTTCTTCTTTTTTTTAAATAATTCAACAGTAAATTTTCAAGACATATAATTATTAGGTCTTCATTATATGATTTATCTGTCAGCATATCTCAAAATATATTCTGTGAGGTACTAGATTTGCAATACATATACATACATCATAAGAAATACAAGCCTCCAGGTCAAATTGCTTTGGGAAACTATGGGCTAAATAATGTTAAAGAAGTTTTTTGGCTGCACAATTTCTTAGAGCTTTGAATAAACTACATATAAGTTCAAATATATGATATCTTCCCTACATTTGAATCTATTTCTAACTTGATATCTCTATGGAATATTTAATAAACAGCTCGAGCCTAACATGTGCAAACGTGCTTTTTGGTTCTTTTTTCTCAGATTCTTGATCCTCTTGTTGACTTCTTCCTAACTGGAAACATTTTCCAGTTGTGGAGGCCAAAATCTTTGTTTTACCCTCGATTCACCTTGTTTTGAAATATAAACAGAAATAATCCTCAGATTCTGCCTTTTCAGGCATTCTAAATAAATCCGCAATCTCTGCTCACCCCAACTAAACTGGTCCAAATCACCATGATTTCTAACTCGCATTATTATAACTTCTAAATAGTCCCCCTGCTTCTAGTCTTGATCCAATTCTAGAGGTTCTCTATTATGCGACTTAGAGTGGATCTTTTAAAAGTGTAAGTCAGACTGTAACCTTTCTTATCTGATCAAAATCTTCCACTGGCTTCTTTTTGTATTTGGAAGAAAATTACAAATCCTTACCATCGGCTTCAAGGAATAATATCACATGGCTCTTGGCTACCTCTCCCACTTTCTTTCCACCTGCCCCTCATCCCCACCTCAGCTATTCTTCTTTTCTCTCACTCATGTATGCCAACTACTCGTCTACCCCCATGGACTTTTGTATCTGCTTTAACCTATGCCTGCCATGTTCTTTTCCTTGATATATATATATATACACACATATATATATACACACACACATATATATATATTCCTTGATATATATATATATTCCTTGATATATATATATTCCTTGATATGTATGTGTATATATATATTCCTTGATATATATATTCCTTGATATATATATTCCTTGATATATATATATAGTCCTTGATATATATATTCCTTGATATATATATTCCTTGATATATATATATTCCTTGATATATATATTCCTTGATATATATATATTCCTTGATATATATTCCTTGATATATATATATTCCTTGATATATATATATATTCCTTGATATATATATATATATATATTCCTTGATATATATATATATATTCCTTGATATATATATATATATTCCTTGATATATATATATATATATATATATATATATATTTTTTTTTTTAAATGGAGTCTCGCTCTGTTGCCCAGGCTGGAGTACAATGGTGCAATCTTGGCTCACTGCAACCTCTGCCTCCCGGGTTCAATCAATTCTCCTGCCTCAGCCTCCTGAGTAGCTGGGACTACAGGTGCGCACCACCATGCCCAGCTAATTTTAGTATTTTTAGTAGAGATGGGGTTTCACCATGTTGGCCAGGATCATCTTGATCTCCTGATTTTGTGATCTGCCCACCTCAGCCTCCCAAAGTGCTGAGATTACAGGCATGAGCCACCGCACCTGGCAGCCTCCTTTCTTAAGAAATACTTTAGATTACCAGGGTATTTTCACTGTGAGATAAGTCATCTGGAAATAAGTCCATGCTGACCGTTGACCGTTCTGTCCTCTCTCAGACTGTGGGCATAGTCAGAATAAGCCTTTGACAGCATCAGAGGCTGGAGGGTGGAAGGATTGGAGAAGCAGAAGCAGAAGGGAAAGGAAAGGAAGCAGAAAGGAGGAAGGAGGAAGAAAAAAAGAAAAGAAGAAGAAGATATTTGGATTTTAGTTGTCTCAAAAGTAGAGCTTTTTAAGGCTAAATGATATTCCATTAGGTGTGTGTGTACCTCACATTTTTCTTTATCTATTCACCTACTGCAGACACTAAGATTGTGCATAATGCGAGCATGAAAGCACAGATACCTCTTTGAGGCACTGATTTTATTTCCTTTGGTTATATACCCAGAAGTGGGATTGCTGGATCCTATGGTAGTTCCATTTCTAACTTTTTGGGGAGAATCTCCATAATATTTTCTATAATGAATCTATTGATTTACATTCCCACCAACAATATACAAGGGTTCCCTTTTCTCCACTTCCTCGCTAACACATGTCATTTTTCACTTTTTTGGTAATAGCCACTGTAACAGGTGTGAGGTGATATCTTATAAGTAGAACGGTGGTTACCAGGGTGGTGGGAGAAATGAAGAGATATTGATTGAAGGGCACAAAGTTGCAGTTACATATAATGGAAAGTTCTAGAGATACAGTTGTAGAGCATGATGACTATAGTTAATAATAGTCACATGTTACATAATGACAGGGATATGTTCTGAGAAATGCATCCTTAGACAGTTCTGTCATTGTGCAAACATAGAGTAAATTTACACAAACCTGGATGGTATAACCTACCATATATCTAAGCAACAAACCTATACAGCATGTCACTATACTGAATGAATACTGTAGGCAATTATACCAAAATAGTATGCATTTATGTCTCTAAACATAGAAAACATACAGTAAAAATGTGGTAGAAAAGATTTAAAATGATGTACCTGTACAAGGTGTTAACCATGAATGGAGCTTGCAGGACTGGAAGTTGCTCTGGGTGAGTCACTGAGTGAGTGGTGAGTGATTGTGCAGGCCTAGGACATTACTGTGCACCACCGCAGACTTCAGAAACATGGTACACTTAGGCTACACTCAATGTATTAACAAACAGTTTTCATTTTGCATACTAAATTAACCTTAGCTTACTGTAATTTTTTTCTTTATAAATTTGTTTTAAATTTTTTTACTCTTTTGTAGCAGCATTTAGCTGACAACGCAAACATTGTACAGCTGTACAAAAATATTTTGTTGATTTCCTCATTCTGTATGCTTTCTTTCGTTTTCATTTCTTCAAGTTTTTTTTTTTTGTTTTTTTTTTTTACTTTTTAAACTCTTTTGTTAAAAACTAAGACACAAACACACACTAACCTAGGCCCACAGTCTCAGAACCATCCACATCACTGTTCTCCGCCTTCACATCTTGTCCCATTGGAAGTTCCTCAGGGGCAATAGCATGCATGGAGCTGTCATCTGTTAGATAACAATGTCCTCCTCTGGATACTTCCTGAAGGACCCATCTGTGGCTGTTTTACAGTTACCTTTTTCTCTTTAAGAAGTAGAAAGAGTATACTCTAAAATAATGACAAGTATAATAAACACACAAACTAGCAACATAGTTGTTTATTGTCATTATCAAGTATTACGTACTGTACACACTTGTATGGGCTATACTTTTATAAGACTTTTATACTTTTATAAAACAAACCTGCTGCACCAGGTTTGGTTATACCAGCATCACCACAAACATATGAGTAATGTGTCATGCTACAACTTAAGATGGCTATGATGTCACTAGCTGATGGGAATTTTTAGCTCCATGACAATCTTATGGGACCAGAGTCATATACACAGCCCATCATTGCCCAAAATATGATGCAGCACAGGACTGTGCTATATTGTATATTGGAAACGCCCTGAAAGTGTAGATTTCAGGAGCTCTCAACACACCCAAACATGCACAAACATGGTAGCTTTGTGAGGAGATGAATATGTCAATTAACTTGCCTGTAGTAATTGTTTTTTTTTGTTTTTTTTTTTTTTTTACTTTATTTATTTATTTATTTTTGTCTGTCGCCCAGGCTGGAGGGCAGTGGTGCAATCTCGGCTCACTGCAAGCTCCGCCTCCCGTGTTCACGCCATTCTCCTGCCTCAGCCTCCCGAGTAGCTGGGTCTACAGGTGCCCGCCACCAAGCCCGGCTAATTTTTTGTATTTTTTAGTAGAGACGGGGGTTTCACCTTGTTAGCCAGAATGTTGTCAATCTCCTGACCTCGTGATCCACCCGTCTCGGCCTCCCAAAGTGCTGGGATTACAGGCGTGAGCCACCGCACCCGGGCCAGCCTGTAGTAATTGTTTTGCTGTGTATACCTATAACAAAACATCAGCTTGTACGCCTTAAATGGATACAGTTTTTATTTACAATAAATAAGCAAATATTTTAAAATTTCTTTATCACTATTTTCATTGCTGCATAATAGACGTACACACTTTCAGGATACATGTGATATTTTGATACCTTCATATAATGTGTAAAGATCAAATCTGGGTAATTTGGATATCCATCAACTTCAATATTTATCTTTTCTTTATGCTAGGAACATTCAAGTGATTCTCTTCTAGCTATTTTAAAATGTAAATTTTTAAAAACTACAACGGGGAAGCAAGAAAGGGTGGGAGAACAAGGGAAACAGAGGAGGAAGACGGGAGAAGTTTTGGAGGGAATGTGGGCGGTGATGGTAAAATAAAAGTACACGAGATGAGACAAGGGCGCAGGAGGAGTAAGTTACAAAGGAAGAGGACATGAAAGGACAGAAGATGGAGGAGACGGAGGGATGCAAACAGTTCTACGACTCACTACAATCTTCATCCATGAAAAGAAAAATTGATAAATTATACCTCATCAAAATGAGGTAAAAAAATGAAAATTGGGGTAAATATTTGCAAGCCACTTTTTCACCAAGTGACCGGTATCTACAATGTAGAAAAAAGATCTCAAAACTTTAAAACAGTAAAATGAATAAATATATAACTTTTATTCAATATATTACTGGGAATTCCAGTCAACAAAATAAGAAAAGAGAAATAAATAAGAAAAGGCAGATTGAAAAGGCAAAAATAAAAAAAAATGTTCCAATTTGCAGATGGGTTCAACAAGGTTGCAGGATTCAAGATCAATGCATAAAAATCAATTTTATGTCTATATATGAATAATACAAACATAGAGACTGATGTTTCTATGTTAAAAGATAAAATAACATTTACAATTTCTCCAAAGAAAATAAAATACTTAGGTATACACTTAACAAAAAAGTATGTATGTTGAAAATTACAAATTGTTGATTAAAGACTTTTTTAAAAGATCTAAGTAAATAGGGAGCTATATATCAAATATAGATTAGGAGAGTAAATAGAAATTCATGAAGTGGAAGTGTTAAACTAGTAAAGATTATTTAAAAATTGATGTATAAATTTAATGCAATTCTTATCAAAACCTCAGCAAGATTTTATTACAGACCTAAAAAGCTTAATATAAAACTTGTGTGGAAAGGAGTGAGCCCTAAAATAGCTAGAACAGTCTGACAAAGAATGTAGGAGTAATCACTTATCTGATACTAAGGTTTACTATTTACATGCAGTAATTGAGACAGCGGAGTGTTGGTAGAGGCATGGATGGATAGCCTAATGGAACAGAATAGAGAACCCAGAAATAGACCCAAATAAATAAACTCAACAGGTTTTTTTACAAAGGTGCAAAAGCAAGTCAATAAGAAATGTTTAACCAATAGATCTGGGGCAGTTGATCATCCATTCAATCCAAGCAAGAAAGTGAACCCTGACCTTAAACCTCTCACCTCACACAAGCACTAACTTAAAACCAATCATGTTCTCCAAAGTGAGACATAGAAATATAGTAAATATTATGCTATATAAAATATAATAAATATTATATCATATAAATATATAATAAATCATAGAAGAGAATTTTTAGGTTCTTAGGCTAGGCAAACAGTTCTTAGACTTGATACTATAAGCTTGACCCACAAAAGGAAAAATTGATAAATTACACCTCATCAAAATGAGGGTAAAAAAAAACCCCTGAAAACTGGGGGTAATTACTTGCAAACCATTTTTCCAACTAAAGACTAGTATCTACAATGCGGAAAAGAGATCTCAAAACTTAAAAAAAAATAAAATAAAATGAATAAACAAACATTCCAATTAGAAAATGGGCAAAGGACAATAACAGGCATTTTCCTGAGAGGATAAACAGAGGGCAAATAAGTGCATATAAAGAATTTCAACACCATTAGCTACGAGAGAAATACAAATTAAAATCATGATGAGCTATCACTACAGACCTATCTGAATGGCTAAAATTATTGTTTTAAGTAAAAATACCAAATGCTGGCAAGGATGCAGAGAAACTGAATCACTCATGCCTTGCTGATGAAAATGCAAAATGGCTAGAATACAGCTTGGCAATTTTCTATAGAACAAAACACAATTTCCATCCCACTCAATCAACTGTGCTCTTCTAGAAAACGAAAGCATATGTTCACACAGAAACCTAGACATGATTGCTCATAGCTGCTTTATTATTAATAATCAAAACCAAGAAACAGCCCGTGTCCTTCAGCGGGTGAATGATTAAACAAACCATGGTACATACATACCTTGAAATTCTAGTTCTCTCTATAAAAAAAAAAACAACTATTGATACATGCAAAAACTTGGATAAAACTTCAGGAATTTACGTTTAGTGAAAAAAAATCAATACATCCCAAACTGAATGATTTTGTTTATGTAATTTTTTACATAAATGAAAATATTAGTGGTGGCCAGGATTTAGGGATGAGTGAACAGGTGGGTAGAGGAAAACAGGTGTGGTCATCAAGGGAAAACGAAGAATTCTTGTGATAACTGAGCAGTTCTGTATTTTTACTGTGGTGGTGAATACATGCTCCTACACAGGTGGCACAACTCTATGGTACTACACACACACATGCACACACATAGACCTATAAATAAATAGTACAAGTAAAATGGGTGATATCTGAATAAGATTAATGGACTGTATCAGCGTCATGGCTATGACGGTGTACTTTTGTTTTAAAAGATGTTACCACTGGAGGGAGCTGAATCATGGCTATGATATGGCACTATAGTTTTACAAGATGTTACCATTGACGGAAGCCGAATAAAGGGTAGATAGGGTATCTTTGCATTATTTCTTAAAACTACATAGGAGTCCACATTGATAAAAAATTTAATGAAAAAATGGAAATTTCCTAAACCAACCTGTTCTGAAACTCCTATTCGAAAATGTATATGAAATGGAACCTAATTAAACTAAAGAGCACAGCAAATGAAACTATCCACAAAATAAACAACCTACAGAATGGCAGAAAATATTTGCAAACTATAAATCTGACAAAAGTCTAATATCCACATTCTATAAGGAATGTAAATAATTGAAGATGCAAAAAATGACCCCATTCAAAAATTAGCAAAAGACATGGACAGACTCTTCTCAATAGAAGACATATAAGCAGCCAACACACAAATGAAAAAAGGTTCAACATTGCTAGCATCAAATAAATGCAAATCAAAACCCCAATAAGAAACCATCTCACACCACTCAGAATGGCTATTACTAAAAAGTCAGAAAACAACAGACACTGGTGAGGCTGCAGAAAAAATGGGAATGCTTATCCTGTTGATAGGAATGTAAATTAGTTCAGCCACTGTGGAAAGCAGTTTGGAGATTTCTCAAAGAATTGAAAAGAGAACTACCATTAAACTTAGCAATCTCATTACTGGGTACATATCCAAGATAAAATGAATCATTCTATCAAAAAGACACATGCACTTGTGTGTTCATCACAGCACTATTAACAATAGCAAAGCCATAGAACAAACCTAGGTGCCTATGAATGGTGGATTGGATAAAGAAAATGTAGCACATATACACCATGCAATACCACCTACCCATAAAAAAAGAATAAAATCATGTTTTTTTGCAGCAACATGGATGCAGCTGGAGGCCATTATCTTAAGTGAATTAACGAAGGAACGGAAAACCAAGAAAGGCATGTTCTCACTTATAAGTGGGAGCTAAGCATTGAGTACTCAAGGACATAAAGATGGCAAAAGTACACCCTGGGGACTACTAGAGAGGGGAGGGAGTGAGGGGGGCAAGGGTTGAAAAACTAATTGTTGGGCACTACACTCACCACCTGGGTAATGGGATCATTTGTATCTCAAACCTCTGCATCACGAAATATACCCATGTAGCAAACCTGTGCATGTACTCCCTGAATCTAAAATAAAAGCTGAAATTATAAAATAAAAATAGAACAATCGATAAAAAAAGAAAAAACTATATGAATCCATTTTGTATGCTTCAAAATATTTTTGGAGTATAAGAAACCATTGCTGTTGCTTTCATTGAGACTCAAGCTCTAGTGTGCTTACTCCCTTTTAATTTGATTAAACAATCCGGCTTTGTGTGTTCTTGGATAAATTGCCCTGCCTCTCCCTACAACGACAGAGAATAATCAAAATAGATAACCCTTCCAGTTTCCTTGTACAGGTATAGCCAAGAAAACCTTTGGAGCCTGAAGGGAGCTTAGGCTGGGTTGGGTCTCAAATGATTTTTAAGCCTGAGATGAATAATTTTCTACCACCCAGATCCTGCCTTTTGAATGACTGGATGGAAGGCGGTTTTATCTCAGAAATCACCACTAAAGAACATATTCATGTACCCAAACACCACCTGCTCCCTAAAAACCTATTGAAATAAAAAATAAATCTTTAACAAATGTAGAAATGTATTATAGGGACTACAAGAGAATTAAATATCATCCTGGACTGAATGGGGCTCCTTATCAGAATCCTGGCCTTAAAGAATCTTGCTTTCTTCAGTTTCTGAGAAAGGAGAGGTCGGGAAAGTCTAGGTCCTGGTACAAAAAGGTGCCTTTGGAGGAAATGCAAATCTCATACCAGCCATGCCAAGAATACTACTTGCTCACACATTTCAAACACGGTTTTTGGACCACCCAGAGAAAGTATTGAAAAATTTTTATAAAGAGCATGAGAAGTCTCTCACATTCTCTCCTTTCTCAAAAAAGAATGATGCTAATTTCTAACGTGTAACTGCAAACGTCTTTGTGAGACTACATTAAAGAGATCAAATGTGAGCGTGAGCACGAAGACTAAAAGAGAGAGAACACATTGCTTTCCTCACAGCATTGAACAGTTCACACACTGTCTTCTTTTCCCCTTTCAAGCTTTTAAAATCTCAACTTCTCTGTTCTATTTCTACCACTGCACATAGTAGCTGGTCCATGAAGCTCCCATTTGACGTCCTACATTTGTGCTATAGAAATGGCATGCATTTTTCAAAACAATAATGACTTTGTAAGAAACATTTAGTAATCAAAGGGAAAAGTCTTTATAGAAGATCCCTTATTTTAAGAATTACCCCTTTAGGGGTTTAACCAAATGTTAGAATATTCTATCTTGAATTCCTGCATATATATTCAGAAGGCAGTTGAAAGGTGTTCTTCTAGGTTTGAAAACCAGCAAGTGAGAATGCTGGCAGAGACAAAGAGTAATTCTTAACTGATATTTATAGCCTTCACTTATAGAGATTTACAAAGAACTTTCAACTACACATTCATATTTGCTATCATAGTATCTCTGTGAGAAATAAGCTGTTATTATGACTTTAATAAATAAGGACTCCAGTGGTACAGCGAGATAGGTTTGTCCAAGTCCGTTAACTACTACAGGGTAAGCCACTGAACTGAACTCACTTCTGACTCAAAGTTCCTTCATGTATGCACTTAAATTTGATTAGCATTTGTTATTTATTATTATTTACTGGATGCTCTAGGACTCAGTCCTGGAAATAAAAATAGCACATACTAGCTGGTGGTTTTGATTGCTCTCCAAGAACCAGACATTCTGTTAAGTGTCTTGCACACGTTATCTCATTCTGGATTGAGTTATGAGACATGATTTTACCCATTTTTATTAATGAAGCAGCCATGGTGAGAATTTAAAACTGTGGACAAAGTAGTGTTTAAAACTGGCTAAGCCTGGATGTTAATTTGCTTCGGCCCAGTTTTGAAATGCATGCTTCTGCCACTGTGACATAGCCCCTGCCTGAAGAAGCCCTTCAGTGGGAGAGAGAGCTGCATAGATACAGAATTAGAGAATTGTGTGCTAGGGGCTATCAGAATGATGACCAATAGGCTTTGGAGTAAGTCTCTATCTATGCCCGGGATTTTGATCTGCATATGTATTTTTTAAAAAATAGAACAAAGAACTTAGAACTTGAATCCAGACTCTCTGCTTCTCTCATGAGTCTTTAAAGAAAGGAGTCAAACATTCTTTGTGTTGTGGTTTCTTGCCCATAGACTACCCATGTGATTTTTAACATGGTGTCTGCTTTTAAAAGCTGTTTTCTTTCTAAGCATCTGAGCACAATGAATTGCTTATAAGAAAGGCTGGTTGACAGCCTCTCCCTCGAGAAGCTTTCACCATGCCACTTGGGAACCATGTGGAGCCTCATCCACAGGTCCCACAGTCATATGGAGAGCCTCCCATCACCCCCATGACTTTATTTATTTATTTTTTGAGACAGAGTCTCACTCTGTCGCCCAGGCTGAAGTGCAGTGGCGCCATCTCAGCTCACTGCAACCTCTGCCTCCCAGGTTCAAGCAATTCTCCTGCATCAGCCTCCTGAGTAGCTGGAATTACAAGCGCATGCCACCACAGCAGCTAATTTTTTTGTATTTTTAGTAAAGACGGGTTTTGCCATGTTGGCCAGGCTGGTCTCAAACTCCTGATCTCAGGTGATCTGCCCGCCTCAGCCTCCCAGAGTGCTGGGATTACAGGCGTGAGCCACCACGCTCTGCCTTCCTCGTGACTTTATAATACTCACCTTGCCTTTTCCCTTCCTTTCTAAAGACAAAACATAAACTTTATTTCCTTGATCTGCTAAATAGTCCAGACAGCCTTTTTTCCACTTTCTGCCTGGCCTAATTTAAAGCGGATGAGGAGACATTTGCTCCAAGAGATGAACAGAAGCCCAAGAATCTCTTAGAGGAAAAACAGCAGGGACATAATACACTTTTTAGAAAGTTTGAGGACTTCATTTATACAAATTTTAGTAGGAGTCAACAGAGTTTTGTGACTGCACACACTCCAAGTGAAGGGAGGGTTTCGGCAGCACTGAGAAGATGATGATGTCTGGACAGAAGCTGTGATGTTGATAATGTCAGTCTTCTCCTACTTGGAATATTACATTTTGTTTTAAATTCTTTTTTTTTTTCCTATTTTTAAGCATATTCATTGAATAATATTTCAATTAAGGTTAATTTTCAGAGAATGGAATTGTCTCCTGCTAGTTGAAGGGACTTATTAGAGTACTAAGCAGATCACTGAATTGTTGGAATGGCTGAAGAAACAGACTACTAAAGCGAGCTTCCAGGAAGGGGCCCCAAAGCTCAGTGCAAAACTAGCTCGCCAGGTGCTGCTGCTCCTTGGGGATGAGGAGGCTTTAGTATCAGAACATTGCCTGCCAATCGGGGAAGCCACCTGCAAACCACCAGTTCCACAATCAGGCCACAATCAGCATCAAATAAATAGATGCCTTTCACCTTATCCTAGTTCTGAATTCAAAGAAATGCGTAATTGGAATGCTCTAAATCACATCTAGAAACCTAGTAGCAAGTACAGTTGAGAAAACCTAGCAAATAACTTAAGTTTCTGACCCCTGTGAGACAAGAATACATACAGGGAGTTTGGAATGAACATCAATGAATTCAGTCTATAGTATTCACAATAAACAACTTTTGTTTTTTCCTCTGATAGCATCCAAAACTTTTTTTAAAAAGCTGAGAACACATTATTTACTTTTTTCTCTATTTACCCATTAAAATTTTACTATGCAACACCTAAAACATATAATAATGTATAAATAATAAAGAAACAAAGTTCATCTATCTAACAAGGGACTTATTCATGCTAATCTTGAAAAGGGTCAACAGCATTCTGTGCTGCACATACATTCACCCCAAGTGTGAAAAAGTAATAGCCACAGTGAGATACTAGAGAAGTTCTACGAAAGAAAATGCAAAGGCTGCCCCCTCCTCCACTCTCCCCGTATGGATCTGAGGGCAGCACATTCCAGGCTTTTCTCAGACACCTGTTGAGAAGGAAAAGGCAGGCTGGTGTTTGGAAACAGATGTTCTCCAGCATTCAGAGCTCCCACCTCAGGTTCAGCAGGCTCCAAGATGGTCATTATGCAAGATTTTTCATTATAATTTAGAAAGTAGAAAATCATAGAACTTCTTTCATATTTCACATGTTTTTATTTTTCAGAAATGTACCAGCAGCATCTAGTCCTTCAACTGGCTTTTCCCTCCTGTTGATGAGATGGTGAGCTTCTTACCAATACACACGTTTCCCCGTGTCTAACGTGCTAAGTGGGCTCACACAAATGTCAGGTCTGGACTTTTCTGGGCATCTCCATGATATCCTCATTCAGAGATTGAGACAATTCAGAGGTACAGAAAAGTATTGAAGAAAGTAATTGTTCTAGAGGAGTATTTAGAAAAGGCCACCACAAGCTAAGATGATTGTGAACTTGGTGTTGAGGCACCAGCTAGACTAGTAGATGTGCAGGTTATGAAAAAAGAAAATCAACTCGTGTACAGCTTGGTTATATCTTTCTCTATGGTCCTTCTTGTTAGGGGGGAAACCTTTGTTCCAGCTTATGATTCCATGTAGAGGGCCTACTTAGTAAAACATCCCCTCTTCCCATGCCCCACTCACCCCTCCTAGAGTGAGTGCAAAATGGTGATTCCAGTGACTAAGGTAAGGAAAACCTCTACCCTTAGCCCAGGATTCAAGGTTCAAGAGAAAGACGCACACCATGGTTAAGCAGGTACTCAGGGCTCATTCAGCATACAATTGATTTGGAGTTTAATGCAATAGGAATATTTCAAGACTCCCTGGCTGATAGCCCAAAGTGTTTAATGTACCCTGAGCCTTGATTCCTGACAAGGAAAAACTGGCTTAGAATCAGGGTTGGTGTACCCACTACAAGGCTAGACAGGGCAGGAGAGACAAAGGGAGTGTGAGCCAGACCCAGTGTTTGAACATCAGATATTGGACTGTTGTGCGTCACTTATTCTCACTCTTATGCCAGAGTGGCAGTGGGATTTGCATTGTCTGGGAGTAAGGAGGATCCTTTGCTAGTTCAGAACCTGAGCTTTTTTTACCTTGTGGCTTTGGACAAGTCACTACACATTCCTAAGCTTCATCTTTTCCAGAAGAAATGATCAGCACAGGCAGGCCGTGTATATGCAGGACCTTCCTTACCATTGAAAGGTCCTTGGAAATAATTAGAATTCTTTGTATTGGAAGTAGAAAAAAAGAAGTCTGATGTGACATAAGCAAGAAGGTGTGTTGGCTCATGGAACTGGAAAACCCAAGTGATGAATTTGACTGCAGAGACCATTTGAGTGTTAATCTGAGGCAGCTTTTGGATCTGCTTCCTCTGATTGGCTTCATTCTCAGGCTCTGCCTCATAGTCCCTAGCATGGTAGACTCTGCATTGTCAAGTAGAAGTTGTACAGGTTAGACTATGTTGCCATTGTCATCACATCCTGTCTGATGGATGAGATTGAATCAAGGCTCACTCCTGAAGCAATCGCCAGTGTAATGTGCTGCGCTTACTCATATATTCTACCATTAGGACTAGAGCCACTCCACAAATAAAAATTAGAGCTGTTGCCTGAAGGAGACAACTGTGTAGGAGAAGAAAGAGAAGAAGGAGAAAGACTGTGTAGAGTAGCACTCTCCAAAGGAGAGTAAGGTGAGCCACATACGTAATTTTAAACTTTCTGATAGACACATTTTTAAAAGTAAAAATGAACAAGTAAAATTAATTTCAACAATATATTCTATTTAACTTTTCCTTTTCATTTCCACAGATATTATGGTGGATTATGTTTAACTTAATATGTCTAAAATGTGATTTTTAACATGTGATCAATATAAACATTATTCGCAGGATAGTACATTTTTTCACACTATGTCTCTGAAATTCAGTGTGTGTTTTACACTTACAGAATATCTCAATTTCAACATATTTTAAGGGTTCCATAAACACATGTTGCTACCATATTAGGTAGTACCAGATTAGGACAAAAAATAACCACTGCTCTATTTCTTCATACCTACTACCACATTGGATGCTTACAACCGAGTAGTTAGGGTGAACCAGTGTTTCACAAGTTGAATGACTAGCTTAAGAAACAGAGGGATCAAAACTCAACACTAGATATCTTGAATTCAAATATAAGTTTTAAGGCCAATGAGGTATACGCTATATGTTCTACAAAAAGAGGTTGGAGTAGACTTTTTAGATTTTTATTGAAGTAACAGAAGCTCCTTGCATCAGGCCAAGTAGCCAGCTTGTAACCCAAACCCTGCTCATTCCACCCAACTTATACCAGAAGATCTCTCATTAGTTCCTGTAGGACCCAGTCTCAGGGCCCCTTGGCTACCCCGTCCTGAATTTGTACTCCAGCTTTAATAAGTGAACTCTCTATGGCAGAGACTCTACCTCAACCCCAGTTAGGGTCTTTACAGTCTCTTGTTTTTTGTGCAAATCTCTGTCTGGGTAATTGGTAATCTGTCTAATAAACATCTCCTTCTAGAACTCATTCTTCAATTTCTTCTCTTGCTTACCCTTTTTCTCGCCCCTGGAATTCTGTTTTTGTAACATGGGCCCTCCCACTTACAAGGAGACTGTACAGATTTTTTCTGCCTTAAGGGAACAATCTCACCCTTCATGGATCTCCCATCAAAAGAATTCTACATTCCTATTATCGGTTAGGTAATGGGTTACTTGTGTGGGATTTTCTTGCTAAACATGACCAGAGATTGTGCCTACTCCTCTGGTCATGACTGGGCACCTCAACTGATATTGCCCTTCACCCACCCTGGCAATGAATGGGGGTAATTTCTGTCCCATTAATCACAAATATATATGATACTAAATGTATTACTATCAGCCATATTCTTTAGAGATGATATTCTGAATTTAAGGGACTCTTGGATTTTAGAAACTCTGGATTTAGGAAAAGAAATGAGTGTACGAGGATGACCATTTATTAGCACTTACTATTTGTCAAGATAAATACTCTACATTTATGATTTAATGCAATAGTCGCTAAGCTCCTGAAATTGCAATAATTATCCATATTTTAAAGATGAAGAAACCGTGTATCCAAAAGTTCAATAAAATTGCCAGAAATCTCAGTCTAATAAGTAATAGATGGGAGATCAAAACCCAGGCCGGTGCAGACTGCCCCCTTCTCCCTCCCTCTGTTTGCTCTGTGTTTGCCTCTTGACCACACAGTCCCTTTAAAAGAGCCAATTAAAACAAAACAAAGTAACACTGAGGACTAAGAATCCAAGGCATTTGTGCTGCCCAAGTTCCATCGTTCAATATTCTTTTGGGATGGAGAAGAAATAAAACCAAATAAAGAATTATGTGCCTTTCAAAAAATTCAATTGGCAAACTTTGAGTTTCATCTAAACAATTCATTTGGTGTTTATTGAGAATTATACTTCTCCTATCTATTTAATCATTCATGACCACAATGCTATAATACTTGATGGCCCCAAGCAGGATTCCTCTCCTTGGTTTTTATACTTCACATGAAATTCAAGCTCCCTTTTCACGTAGCAAAATAACAGAGAGTATCTGAACAAAAGTGCTGTAGGAACCAGGAATCCAAAGTTTTTTTCACTTTGAGACTCATTGTGTTCCTGCACAGACTCACACACAATAGAATTCCAGATACTTTTAATAAATAGAATACTCCATTCTTTTGAAGAGCAATGATGTCTGTCTTGTGATCACCTCATCCTGCTATGGCATTCAACAAAACCAAATCATCTTCGTGAGGAAAGAGTTGGCTTCTAATCTCCAGCATCATTATGATTCATGAATATGAGGGACACTATAAAGTCATCTGTAAATGTTTCTAGCACATGGCATGTACTGGATAAATGTTAGGCTGCCTCCTTCCTATTAACACTCTTAAGGCCACATACAATTGTCCATTTAGGTAGAAAATGACCTCCAAGTTTTGCTCACACATTCTCTAATGTCTATATTAATTACAACATCTTGAAGATATTTGTTTCTGTTTCTAAAGTGCATTAACATTCAGCATCCCATTCTGACAAACATCCCTGAGAGTCAGGCAGTACCGAAATAACATCTATCTTTACACAAAAAGACAAAGGTGAAGAGAGGCCAACAGATTTGTCAAAAGTAGATTTGTTCATCTGAATACAGAAGCTCAGTGAATTGGCTCACTTAATGCCCATCCCATGGCTCACCTGGTTTACAAAGGAAAGAAAGCTAAAAACTACATTTCCCGGAGGTGCTGGTTAGAGACATTAACACTTACGGGAAGTTTTGTTTGGAATTTACCCCTGGGGAGAGTGGTAGGGTATAAAAGGCACCCATTCGACCTGCGAGGATTGTAACAAAAGCAGCATAATCCTGAATCTTGCTAATAGGGTTGGGCTTTTTAATTCACAGTTTCCTGACCTTGGTAAAAGCAGAAACTCCCTGGATAGTTCATTCTGCCTTGTGACTTTGGAAGTCATTCCAGGAAGCTCAGAGCCTGCTGTGCAGCCCTGTCAGTGTTTAGAGGTATCCTTGCATTTAATACAATTTCTTTCTGCTTAATCATCTGAAGGGAGTTCTGCTAGTTGCAACTGAGAACACTGACTGGAGCTTATGGTTAAACCAATGATCAAAATCAGATTTTATTGACTCCATGAAAAAATAAAATATTTTATATAATGGCAAAACTTAAAGAGGTAGGATAGTATAAATGGAAGGAAAAAAATAGGCCTTCGAGTTACTTATACCTGGACTCAAACCTCAACTCTGCTACTTGTGGACATGGATAAGGGTTACCAACATGGCCAGTAAGTGAAAGTTTACTGGAAGTTTTTGTGAAAAATGAGTCATGAGGTTGATGCCAGGCAAGTTTTCAGGTCAAAGAGAAGATGTGGTTATTGACATCAGGTAAGTGCAGGGTCTTAGTAGAAATAAAACTACACAAGTAACTTTCCATATGTCCTAGAAAATGCTTGTATAAAAATCAGTATAAAAGTAGGGGCCAAGCACTGTGGCTCACACCTGTAATACCAGCACTTTGGGAGGCCAAGGCAGGCGGATCACCTGAGCTCAGGAGTTTGAGACCAGCCTGGCCAACATAGTGAAATCCCATGTTTTTAGCTCTACTAAAGCTACAAAAATTAGTTAGGTGTGGTAGTGGGCGCTTGTAATCCCAGCTACTCTTGAGGCTGAGGCAGAAGAATGGCTTGAACCCGGGAGACGGGGAGGTTGCAGTGAGCCAAGATCATGCCATTGCACTCCAGCCTGCGTGACAAGAGTGAGACTCTGTCTCAAAAAAAAAAAAAAAGTAGGAAAAGCTATGATGTTAATGTAATGCCCACCCTTGTTTTTACTAACCCTGTTTTTAGACTCTCCCTTTTCCTTTAATCACCTAGCCTTGTTTCCACCTGAACTGACTCTCCCTTGGCTAAGAGAGCCAGACAGACTCCATCTTGCCTCTTTCACTGGCAGCCCCTTCCTCAAGGACTTAATTTGTGCAAGCTGACTCCCAGCACATCCAAGAATGCAGTTAACTGATGAGATACTGTGGCCAGCAATATCCGTAATTCCCAGGAATTCGTCCAATTGATAACACCCAAAGCCCCGCGTCTATCACCTTGTAATAGTCTTAAAGCCCCTGCACCTGGAACTGTTTACTTTCCTGTAACCGTTTATCCTTTTAACTTTTTTGCCTACTTTATTTCTGTAAAATTGTTTTAACTAGACCCCCCTTCCCTTCTCTAAACTAAAGTATAAAAGAAAATCTAGCCCCTTCTTCGGGGCCGAGAGAACTTTGAGCGTTAGCCGTCTCTTGGCCGCCGGCTAAATAAACGGACTCTTAATTCGTCTCAAAGTGTGGCATTTTCTCTAACTCGCTCAGGTACAACATTATGAATATCACAGAAAAAAATAGGACTTCTGGGGCCTGAAAATATGACTGAGAGGCACTGTACCTTGTCTTCATGCAAGTTGCCGACTTGTTGGAATTCAGTCCAATTTTCAGGAGAGGGACTGTTGCTCTTATAAACAGAGGTAGTAAAGTGCAGCAGGGAGCAGTTCCAGGCGCAGCTGCAGAGAAAAAAGTTCAAAGAGAACTCGGTAGCCTCTTGGAGGTTTCTATGCTGTTTATCTTTTTTCAAGCAAAGGGAAGTAAAAAGCAATAGGAGAACTTTCTTTAGGCCACTGTTTCCATGAGATCGCATTCCTCCACACGAGGGCTCTTCAAAAAATTGAAGATGGTCTATTTTACAATTAAAAATTAACTTATTAGGTTAAGTGTTTATAATTCCTTTAAGAATTTCCTTGGAGTAAGCAGATTGAGAAACTTCCCCACTTTTCAACTCAGGTGTTTTCCACTCATAATTTTCTTTCAAAATGGATTCCGTGAATTTTCTTAGGCCAAATTGTCACCTCCTTTTTAATGATACCAGGCAGAAAGAATTGTAGCCCTGTTTCAAGAAATGTACTCTCGAGCTTGCAGTGAGCCGAGATCGCGCCACTGCACTCCAGCCTGGGCGACAAAGCGAGACTCCATCTCAAAAAAAAAAAAAGAAATGTACTCTCAAGCAAGGCCTGCCTGGTTTTATTCTTCACACTCCTTCCCCAGGGCTTCCAGGATTCTGAAAATTTTTCCGTCTTCAGTTCCAAGGGCATATTTATCTCTCAAGACAAGTAACCATTTGGCTCATCTGAGTTCTGAAACTTAGTCCCCATTTGCATGATAACATTTTTTGCAGGGCTGTTGGAGGAGAAAGTGGGATAATACATCGGCAGTAGTTAAAGCCCACTTAATATGTGAGATAATTCTGGCTCTTCACTGAAAACCATTTCCTCTTATAGTTAGGTATCACTGAGAGGTGACAGCGTGCTGGCAGTCCTCAAAGCCGTCGGTCGCTCTCGGCGCCTCCTCTGCCTGGGCTTCCACTTTGGCGGCACTTGAGGAGCCCTTCAGCCCACCGCTGCACTGTAGAAGCCCCTTTCTGGGCTGGCCAAGGCCGGAGCCCGCTCCCTCAGCTTGCAGGGAGGTGTGGATGGAGAGGCGCGAGCGGGAACCGGGGCTGCGCGCGGCGCTTACGAGCCAGCTGGAGTTCCGGGTGGGCGTGGGCTTGGCGGGCCCCGCACTTGGAGCAGCCGGCCGGCCCTGCCGGCCCCGGGCAATGAGGGGCTTAGCACCCGGGCCAGCGGCTACCGAGGGTGTACTGGGTCCCCCAGCAGTGCCAGCCCACCGGCGCTGCGCTCGATTTCTCGTAGGGCCTTAGCTGCCTTCCCGCGGGGCAGGGCTCGGGACCTGCAGCCCGCCATGCCTGAGCCTCCCACCCGCTCCGTGGGCTCCTGTGCCGCCGGAGCCTGCCTGACGAGCGCCGCCCCCTGCTCCATGGCGCCAAGTCCCATCAACCACCCAAGGGCTGAGGAGTGCAGGCGCACGGCGCGGGACTGGCAGGCAGCTCCATCTGCAGCCCCGGTGGGTGCGGGATCCACTGGGTGAAGCCAGCTGGGCTCCTGAGCCTGGTGGGGAGGTGGAGAACCTTTATGTCTAGCTCAGGGATTGTAAATACACCAATCGGCACTCTGTATCTAGCTCAAGGTTTGTAAACACACCAATCAGCACCCTGTGTCTAGCTCAGGGTTTGTGAATGCACCAATCAACACTGTATCTAGCTACTCTGGTGGGGCCTTGGAGAACCTTTGTGTGGACACTCTGTATCTAGCTAATCTGGTGGGGAAGTGGAAAACCTTTGTGTCTAGCTCAGGGATTGTAAATGCACCAATCAGCACCCTGTGTCTAGCTCAGGGTTTGTGAATGCACCAATCAACACTCTGTATCTAGCTACTCTGGTGGGGTCTTGGAGAACCTTTGTGTGGACACTCTGTATCTAGCTAATCTGGTGGGGAAATGGAGAACCTTTGTGTCTAGCTCAGGGATTGTAAACGCACCAATCAGCACCCTGTCAAAACAGGCCACTCGCCTCTACCAATCAGCAGGATGTGGGTGGGGCCAGATAAGAGAATAAAAACAGGTTGCCTGAGCCAGCAGTGGCAACCCGGTGGGGTCCCCTTCCACAGTGTGGTTGCTTTGTTCTTTCGCTCTTTGCAATAAATCTTGCTACTGCTCACTCTTTGGGTCCACACTGCCCTCAAACTAGAGTTATGAGCTGTAACACTCACCATGAAGGTCTGCAGCTTCACTCCTGAAGCCAGCAAGACCACGAGCCCACTGGGAGGAACGAACAACTCCAGATGTGCTGCCTTAAGAGCTGTAACACTCACGGGGAAGGTCTACAGCTTCACTCCTGAGCCAGGGAGACCACGAACCCACCAGAAGGAAGAAACTCCGAACACATCCGAACATCAGAAGGAACAACTCCAGACGCGCCACCTTAAGAGCTATAACACTCACTGCGAAGGTCTGCAGCTTCACTCCTGAGCCAGCGAGACCACGAACCCACCAGAAGGAAGAAACTCTGAACACATCTGAGCATCAAAAGGAACAAGCTCCAGATGCGCCACCTTAAGAGCTGTAACACTTACCGCAAGGGTCCACAGCTTCATTCTTGAAGTCAGTGAGACCTAGATCCCACCAATTCCAGACACATCACCATGACTCTGACTTCTAGCTGCTGAAGTTTTGGCAGATGTGGCGTGTACTACTTCCCAGCCTTCCTAGTACATAAAAATATTCTAGGCCAGGCACAGTGGCTCATGCCTGTAATCCCAGCGCTTTTGGAGGGCAAGCCCAGTGGATCACCTGAGGTCAGGCGTTCAAGACCAGCCTGGCCAACATAGCGAAACCCCGTCTCTACTAAAAATAACAAAAATTAGCTGCGCATGGTGGTGGGCCCCTGTAATCCCAGTTACTCGGGAGGCTGAGGCAGGAGAATCTCTTGAACCTAGGAGGCAGAGGTTGCAGTGACCTGAGATTGAGCCACTGCACTGCAGCCTGGGCAACAGAGTGAGACTCCGTCTCAAAAAAAAAAAAAAAATTTTTTTTACATCCTCCTCCATGCTCTGTCACCTTCCTGGCTATGTAGCCTAGCCATAGAAGTCAAGCATTAAAGATAGAAAAGATGCTATTATCCTAGATTCCTGAATGACTTACGGAGGAGGGCCATACGTGCCAAGAGAAACCTTTGTCCAGGACTGTGACATGAGGAATAAGATTATGATAAACAAGTAAAACATTGGATTTTATTTGGCTGGACTTCTTTGCCTTAACTAACACAAGTTGTGTTAAATTTTGATTTCCTAAAGAAAGGTTTTATTGGCCAGGCGCAGTGGCTCGTTAGCTGGGCATGGTGGTGGGCCCCTGTAATCCCAGTTACTCGGGAGGCTGAAGCAGGAGAATCTCTTGAACCTAGGAGGCAGAGGTTGCAGTGACCTGAGATTGAGCCACTGCACTCCAGCCTGGGCAACAGAGCGAGACTCCGCCTCAAAAAAAAAAAATTTTTTTTACATCCTCCTCCATGCTCTGTCACCTGTAATCCCAGCACTTTGGGAGGCCAAGGTGGGCAGATCACCTGAGCTCAGGAGTTCGAGACCAGCCTGACCAACATGGTGAAACTCTGTCTCTGCTAAAAATACAGAAATTAGCCGGGCATGGTGGCAGGTGCCTATAATCCCAGCTACGTGGTAGGCTGAAGCAGAAGGATCGTTTGAACCTGGGAAGTGGAGGCTGCAAAGAGCCGTGATTGTGCCACTGCACTCCAGCCCAGGCGACAGAGACTCTGTCAAAAAACAAAAAAACAAAAAAAACAGAAATAAAGGTTTTATTTATTTTCCTCAGCTTATTTTATCTGATAACACATAGGGACAGCATTATTCTTTTGATATTATTCATCTCCTCTTCATGCCTTAAAAAGCTCATTGGCCCATAATGATAATGATGGTATTCCCTCTCCCTTGGGTGTGCCGTTCCATCATGTATTCTCAATATTGACAATATCATTCTTAAGGGAATGGAAATTGGTTATAGGTGAAGGGGGAGAAAACCGTGTTCTTCTGTGTATAAAGCACAAATAATCATATTGTACTAAACAGATATATCATGATATATCTGGGGGATTTAAATTTTATGGGAGTAGTAAGAAAAACAGTGTCTAAAATGTCTTGTTAGAAACGCCATGATAAAGCAGCAAGGTTGAGAAGCACTGCCTTCAATGCAGCATTCTATGGTTCAATGGTAAACATCTGTTCCCATTATAGCTATGAAGTATTTCTGAAATGGCTTCTTCACTTACTTTAGAACAATGCATTTGCTAAGAAAACAATATGCTGTGTAGGTGTTTATTATGACAAAGATGAAATGTATTGAACAAATCATAGCCAAGAGACTCACCAGTAATTTTCAGTCCATTCAGCAGTTCCCTCTGAGAAATCCTTTTCTGGAGTCTTTATAAATGACCAACCCTAAAAGGAGTCGAGTCAAGGCAAAAAATTATGTAAAGAAAGTCTCAGTGGCCCATAAATAAAAGCCTTGGTGAAAAAAGACTTCTGCATTTGAGAGTATATTCTTTCTTTGAAAAGTTAAGAAAGACAGTGATGAACTGAACTCTAGACCTAAAATAAGAGTTTATATTTGGGAATTCCATTCAATTAATTCAGTGGAAAATATCCCCTAGTCATTATCCACTGAATGCACTCCATATGTCTCTATCGCTGGTTACCTGATTATAAGAGCTATATATATTCATTGTACAAATGTTAGCACTTTCACAAAAACAGTCATGCATCACTCAACAATAGGGATACATTCTGAGAAATGTGCTATTAGCCAATATTGTAATTGTGAGAACATCATAGAGTATACTTACACAAATCTGGATGTTGTAGCCTACTACACACCTAGGTTATATAATATGTAGGCTACAAATCTGTACAGCATATTACTGTACAGAATATTATAGGCAATTATAACACAATGATAAGTATTTGTCTATTAAACATAGAAAAGGTACAGTAAAAAATATAATAGATAAAAATGGTACACTCATAGGAAGCACTTACTATGAATGGGGCTTGCTGAATTGGAAGTTGGTCTGGGTGAGTCAGGGAGTAAATGCCAAGTGAACATGAAGGCCTGGACCATTACTGTACATTCCTGTAGAGTTTATCAAAGCTGTACACTTAGGCTACGTTAAATTTATTAAAATTTCTCTTCAATAATAAGTTAACCTTAGGTTACTGTAACTTTTACTTTACAAACTTTATTTTTTTAACTTTTTAGCTCTTGTAATAACACTTCACTGAAAACACAAATACATTGTGTAGCTGTAAAACTATATTTTCTTTCTTTGTATACTTATTCTATAAGCATTTTTATTGTCAAAATCATTTTTTTAACTTTTTAAATGCTTTTGTTGAAAACTAAGCCACAGACACACACTAGCTGAGGCCCACCCAGGCTCAGGACCATCCACATCACTGTCTTTTGCCCCCACACCTCGTCCCACTGGAAGGTCTTCAGGGGCAATAACATGCATGAAGCTGTCATCTCTTAGGTAACAATGCCTTCTTCTGTAATACCTCCTGAGGGACCTGCCTGAGGCTGTTTTACAGTTTACTTTTTAATATATAACTAAAAGAAGTACACTCTAAAATATAGATTTAAAAATGACACAGTATAGTAAATACATAAACCAACAATATAGTTGCTTATTATCATGATCAAGTATTAAATACCATACATAATTGTATGCATGATACTTTCATAGGACTGGCAACACAGTAGTCTTACTTTCACCAGCATCATCATAAACGTGTGTGACGCGTGTGGTACAACATTACGATGGCGAGGAAGTCACTAGGAGATAGGAATTTTTCAGCTCCAATATAATTTTATGAGACCACCATCATATTTGTGGTCCATCTTTAATCAAAACATTGTTATGCAGCCCATAACTGTGCATAAATAAATCACCCATACACTCTATCTTATCAGTAACTACTGCGAAATTCTGAGGTATTTATTGCTAGTATTTTTCTAGGCATATAAATTTGAACCAATGACTCCCCTAATAAAAATCGTTCAAGTAATTCACTGTTGATTAACCCACCACAGAAGATAAAATCAGATCAAATTAGAGCTTCCTTAAAGCACAGTGGCACATTAAACCTTTGGAGTTTTACACATACTTCCCTGTCTTCTGGGATGTTTCTTTCACACATTTGTCTGACTGGAGCACCGTTATTTATCTTTTAAGATCCAGACGCAATACCTTTCCCTTTGTTATGAATTTCTGACCCAACAACAACCTCCGGTGGAGTGGTTCATTACTCCCTTTGCCATAACTCTATCTTGCACATGCCCTATCATAAAGTGTTAGCATGCTGTATCTTATTTTATTTGTTTAGATGTACATCCCTTACTAAACAGTGAGGAAATTAATTGAATACACATGTATGTATATAATTAGTTATCTACTGTATGTTGGATATTGTATCAATACCATGGATTAATAAACTATGCCTAGCTTCCAGCTGTGCTAGAGAAAATTACAGCAAAACCATATCTCCACCAAAAAAAGTATGAAAACATAAAATACAACAACAGAAACATATCTTTTAAAGGCTTTTAGGAGCTGCTCAACAACTAAGAAGTGAAGAGCCAAATTATCGAGGAAAGGAGAATATAGAAGCTCATTGAGTTGAGCCCAACATCTGCATGTTGCTTTTTGGCTGAGAAATTTAGTGATTCTTGTGTTTAGGCAGAAAACTAAGAAGTTAGGTAGAGGGATAGATCGTAAAAGCCTGAGAACCCACCAGACCTTAGGTAATCTCACTGGGCTGGGAAGAAAAATGTCAGGGTTTAAGGTTACAAGAACCAGCATTAAAAACAAAACCCTGAGATGGTGAAGCAGAAAATTAAACTCAACACTATTTGCCAGTTTTTCCCTTGCAGCATTTGCCACCCAATTGAACAGCCCAAGAGACTAAGAAGTCACTCAGAAAGCAGCTGAAAAACAGAACAGAGTTTTTTATAAATGTCGCTATGGAGGAAAAACTGTAATTGCAACCCAAGACCCACTAAGAAAGATCCCTAAGAAATATCCCTCACTCTAAATTAGCACCTCTGGAGGACTAAATTCTAGGAGTGGTAAAATAGAGGAAGCGCAAGCCTTACAAAGACTACTAAGCAGTTTCAAACCTGTTCAGTCCTTGGGTGGATTGAGGAGATCTGATCCACTGCTATATACAAAGATAAAGAAAATGTTCTAAAGAGAAAGATACCAGTATGCAGAACCTCCACAATGTTCAGCAATTATTTTAGACACACTCAACAGGACTCATGCTTAAAAAAAAAAGAAAATAGAACGGATGCATATGTAACTTAGATATTGGAGATCTCAAGCATGGACTTTAAAATAATTTATTATAATGTTGATGAAAATCTTTAGAAATTTGGCATCTGTACAAAAAATCAAATAAAAATCTTAACAATGACAAATTCATAAGTAAAATGTACAGCTTAACTCGGGTCAAACAATTTGTTGGGCATGGCTGCAAAGAACATTCATGAGCTGGAAAATGGTCAGTTAGAAATATCTCAAAAATGGAGAGCAAAGGAGACAGAAACATAAAAACACAAGAGATACATAAAACATAATAGAAAGATTCAGTGCATGTAAAATAAATGCCCAGAGGGAAGAATGATAATATAAGGGAGAATAAATATTTGAGGGGATATTGGCTAAGAATTGTCCCAAACTGACAAATGACTCAAGCCAGAAATTCTAGAATTACTGTGAGCCCCAAGGCAAATAAATAAAGCAAGTAAATCACAATGGGGTTATTTTAGTAGTAGTCTTGTAAACGTAAATCATGGAGGTAATCTCGTAAGCATTCAGTTAAAAAAATAAAAACAAAATACAAGAACTGATTCAATACCTTTAAAGAATCTACAATATCAGCGATATAGAACTTATCAACAGAAATGATGAAAGCCAAAAGACAAGAGAACATGTCTTCAAAATGCTGGAAGACAACAAACAAACAAATACTGAAATGATATATCCAATAAAATTATTCTCAAAGGAGGAGATAAAGACATTTCCATACAAAGTATTAATTTAATTTCCATCAGATTTACACTAAATGAATTCCAGAAGATACGATTTAATCAAAAGTCAAATGACCCAAAAGGAAACACAAAAATGTAGAAAAAAGACAAAAAGAATGGAAAATGGGTAAATATTTGGGAAAATAGATAGTTGTCATTTAGAATAAAACTCTCAATTCAAAATTCGAAGTCCAGTAAAAATACCTTTCAAAAATAAAGAAAAATTCAAACAAATCAACTAAATCTCACAAAACTTAAAACTGGCAGAATTATGTTACGAGGAATCTTTTAAAAACATATTCAAGCACAAACAATATGATACAAGACTAAAAGTAGATTTACATAAATAAACTAACGACCTGGAAACAAGATAAACATAAAAGCATTTCTCCTTTAAAAAGATTCTAAAGGATAATTGTCTAAAGCAAAAATAGTACAAATGGATTGTAGCTGTAGAACATATGTAGAGAGAAACGCATAGCAAAAATAGAACAAAAGATAGAGGTGACTGAAATTATATTCTTATAAGACTATAAGGTTTCAACATTTTACATGAAGTTTTATATTATTTTTATTGATACATAACAGATGTATATATCTTCTAGGTACATGTGATATTTTGATATATTCACATAATGTGATCAAATTGGAGTAACTGAGATAACCATCACCTTAAGCATTTTTCTTTTCTTTATGCTGGAAACATTCAGATTATTTGCTCCTATTTTGAAATATAAAACAGATTATTGTTAACTATGATCACTCTACTGATCTATTGAACACTAAGTCTCATTTATCTTATCTAACTTTATTTTTATATCCATTAGTTAACTTCTCTTCACCCTTTTGAGCTTCTGGTAACCACCAATCTATTCTCTTTTTGAGATATACATTTTTAGCTCCCACATGTAGTCAGAACATGTAATATTTGTCTTTCTGTGTCTGGCTTATTTCACTTAACATAATGACCTATAGTTCCATCCATATTACTGCAAATGACAGGATTTTGTTATTTTTTATGGCTTAATAATATTCCATTGTGCATATGTACCATATTTTCTTTATCCATTCATCTGTTGATGGCACTTAGTCTGAAACCATATTTTGGCTACTGTGAATAGTGCTGTAGAAAACAAACATAAGAGTGAAAATATCTTTTCTAAATACTGATTTCCTTTATTTTAGATATATACACGGTAGTCAGATTCCTGGATCTTTTAAAGGTAGGCCATAATGAATTGAAAAGGTATTTTAAAGCTATAGGATAACCATTAAAAATCAAAGGTAGGTAGGTAGGTAGATAGATAGATAGATAGATAGATAGATAGATAGATAGATAGATTATGCCAATAATGGAGATAAAATAAAGTTATAAATATATCTGATTAATTAAAAAACAGAAAAATGAAAAACAAAAAACAAAAAGTGGATGAAGCAAATACAAAACAATAACTAACAAGATGGTATATTTAAAATCGAATATACCCATAATTATATTAAATGTAAATGCTCTAAATACATCAATTAAAAGATAGATATTTTCAGTTTAGATAGCAACAAGGCCAAACTACATATCATCTCAAACATACACACACACAAACAAAAACAAAAAATAACACCTTAAACATAAAGATGTGTATAGGTTACAAGTAAAGCATGGGATAAGATATACATTGCAAACTTTAAGTAAAAGAAATCTGATGCAGAGAAATTAGCCAAAACAAAGGGGCTACAGGCCCCATGCAAGGCTGAAACCCAGCATGGCAATCATTAAATTTTAAAGTTCCAAAATAATCTCCTTTAACTCCATGTTTCACATCCAGGGCCCTCTGATTCAAGGGGTGGGCTCCCAAAGCCTTGGGCAGCTCCACCCCTTTGGCTCTGCAGGGTACAAACCCTGCAGCTGCTTTCACGGCTGGCATTGAGTGCCTGCAACTTTTCCAGGTGCACAGTGCAAGCTGTTGGTGGGTCTACCATTCTGGGTTCTGGAAGACAGTAGCCCTCTTCTGATAGTTCCAGTAGGCAATACCCCACTGGGGACACTGTCACCAGTCTCCAAACCCACATTTGCCTTTCATACTGCCTTAACAGAGGTTCTCCTTAAGGGTGTCACCCCTGCAGCAGATATCAGCCTGGACATCCAGATGTTTCTACACATCCTCTGTAATTTAGGCAGAGGTTCTCAAACCTCAACTCTTAACATCTATGTACCCACAGACTCAACACCATGTGGAAGCTGCCAAAGCTTGGGGCTTCCATCCTAGGAAGCCATGGCCTGGGCTGCACCTTGGCCCCTTTAGCCACAGCTGAAGTGGCTGGGCTGCAGGGCATCATGTCCTGAGGCTGCACAGAGCAGTTGAGCCCTGGGCCTGGCCCCCAGAACCATTTTTCCCTCCTAGGCCCCTGGGCCTCTGATGGGAGGTGCTGCCAGGAAGGTCTCTGACATGGCCTAGAGTCACTTTCCCCATTGTCTTGGCTATGAACATTCAACTCCTCATTACTTATGCAAATTTTTGCAACTGGTTTGAATTTCTCCCCAGAAAATGGGCTTTTCTTTTCTATCACATGGTCAGGCTGCAAATTTTCCAAACTTTTATGCTCTGCTTCCCTTTTAAACAAAAGTTCCAGTTTCAAATAATCTTTTTGTGAATGCACAGGACTCTGCAATTTCAGCAAAAGCCAGGTCACATCTTGAATGCTTTGCTGCTTACAAATTTCTGCCAGATACCCTAAATTATCTCTCTCAATTTCAAAGTTCCACAGATTCCCTAGATCAGGAGCACAATGCTGCCAGTCTCTTTGCTAAAGCATAGCAAGAGTGATCTTTGTTCCAGTTCCCAATAAGTTCCTCATCGCCATCTGAGACCACCTCAGCCTGGACTTCAGTGTCCATATCACTATCAGCATTTTACATAAATGCAGGTCTTGCCATGGTGGAGCAGGGGAGAGACAGGGGTCAGTGGGGGAGGTGAGGTGGGGGTGAAGTGCCACACACTTTCAAACAACCAGATCTCGTGAGAACTCACTATCACAACAACAGCAAGGGACAAGTGGCAAGTACATCCCCAGATTCGATCACCTACCACCAGGCTCCTCCTGAGACTTGTAGGGATTACAATTCCAGATAAGATTTTGGTGGGGATACAGAGCCAAATCAAATCAATACCCATGAAAATTAAAAATTTTTTAAAAATGGAAAAAATTGAAAACTTAACAACACACTTATAAATAATTCAGGGATGAAATAAAAAGTGAAAAGGACAATCAAAAATGTTTGAAGTTGCAATTAAAATATGACAGTAAAACATGTAGGATATAGCTACAGCAATGTTTAAAGAGACATTTACAACATTAAATTTTTATATTAGAAAGGAAGATCATTCTCAAATCAGTGATATAGGCTTCAATTCTAAAGAACTAGAAGAATAATTAAGTAGAGAAAGAAAATAATGAAAGGCAGAAATCCATAAAATTGCAAAAAGAAAAATTTTGAAAAACAATGGGAAAAAAAGGTAGTTCTTTGAAAAGCTCAATAAAATGCTAAATCATTAGCCAGACTAAATAAGAATAAAAGAAAGAATAAACAAGTTGCCAATATCAGGAATAAAAGAGAAAACATCTCTATAGATCCTTCGTAGATGAACAGTATAATGAGAAACTTTATGAACAAAGTTATACCTTCGAAGTAAGAAACAGAGAACATTCAAGAGAATACAAAGAATGATAAAAGGAGACAGCATTCCATATCCTATAGAAATTAAAATACACAAAATATGAATAACTTATTAACGTATATAAGTCAAACATTTTAAAATTCGGATAAAATAGATGAGTTACTATAAAAACACATCTTTCCTGAAACTGAAACAAAAATCTGAATAATCGTATACATTAAATACTTGAAAAATGCACAGGAGAAGATCTTCAGGAATAAATGGCTTGACCCTTGCACTTTTAGAAGTATTTGTAGAAAAAAAAAATAACGCAACATTAATGTCATGCAGTGTTTTCTTTTCTTTTCCCAGAGAATGAGAAAAAAAGAAAAATTCTCGACTTGCATCATGAGGCCCTAGCAAAACTTTGATACGGAAACCTGAAAGGAAAATAACAAAAAAAAAAAATGAAAAGTCTTAGCCAATTTCTCTCTTACACATGAATCCAAAAATCTTCAATGAGTTATTAATGTAAAATTGATATCTAATTGACATATAGTAAAATGAGGATATACTATTTTTCAATCTCATTAAGCTTATTTCAGAAAAGTCTTAGTAATTGAAAATTAATATAATTTACAATATTAACACAATAAATACAAATTATATGATTATCACAGTAGATGGAGAAAAATCGTTTTATAAATGTCAACACTATTTGAATAGAAACCAATTTATAGTGAATAAAAACAATCTTTCTTAATAAATATTATCTATGAAATATTCTGTATCCTATCCAAAAAAAGTATTAAAATGGGAAATCTTTGAAAGGAAAAGGAAGAAACAAAGTGTTGCTATTTGCAGATTATGTAATTACAAAAATAAAAACAAGGATGTTGACAGCCACCCTTTAAAATTAATAAATGAACTTAACAAGTTGCTGAAGGCAAATTCATATAAAAAACTCAATTGTATTTCCATATTCCATCAAAATTATATCAATAATGCATTTTAAAATGCCATTTAAAATAGAACTAAAATGTCAAATAGTAATAAATCCAATAAATGGCATGCAAGACATCTTTCACAACACTACAAAACACAAAGGAGAAGAATTAAATAAAACAAATAAAAGGGGAAATATATTCTGTTAATAGACTAGAAGAATCACTATTAAAAATATGCCAATGTTACATAATTTGGACAACAGATTTAGGGTGATCCTAATCATCTCCTGATATTTTTGGTTTTGTTTCCAATGAAAATGAATAAGTTAATTGTAAAATATATACAAGCATGCAAAGGAACAGTAAGAGCTACACATAAACAGAAACAAGGTTGGATGACTTATTAGCAGAGAGTAAGACATTATAAAGCCACAGTGATTATAACATTGTGTTATTTGTGCAAGTATGAACTATAGAACTAAACAAAGTTCAAAAACAGACATCACATGTATGATCATTTGATTCATGAAAAGATACACTAAGAACAATGGGGAGAAAATGAATTTTTAAATAAATACTGCTGTCAGAAGATATTAAATGGAAAAAAGAATTTTTATTTCTACTTTAGGACTGAAATAAATTAATTTAGGATAAACTTAGAAGTTTACTGTGAAAGTGAAATGCGTAAGTTTAGAAGAGAACAGTAAAATATCTTCACAGCATTGGAATAGGATAAAGATTTTTCAAATAGAATGCAATAAGCTACAACAATAAAATATATGTTTGATAAATTGAACTTTATCAAAGAACATCATTAGGATAATACAAATATAAATCCTGGAACAAGTATAAAATCTACAAAGATGACATGTAAGATTCTCATGAGGAATCTCATTGATTCCTCAAATCAATGAGAAAAATGTAAACACAATTTTAAAAGATGCAAAATAAAAAAGAGAATATTAAAGTGACCCATGAATATGGGAACATATATTCAATTTGTTTAGTGATCAGAGAAATTCAAATTTAAACCATAATAAGATACCATTACCCAATCGCTAGAATATCTACACTTTTAAAAGACCGACAATGTCAACTGTTGTAAAGTAATGGCGTAACTGGAACCTTCATATGCTAATACAAATGGTACAAATTGGTACAACCACTTCGAAAAACTGTTGGCAGTGTCTACCAAAGGTGAAAACATAAATACCCTTTACTCAATAATTTCATGCCTAGTATATACCTACAGAAATGTACCCATAAGTGCACCAAAAGTCATGTGCAAAAGTGTTCATAGCAACACTACTCTTAACACTCAAATGTGGAAACAACCAGAATGTAAGTCTAAAGATAGATAAGTAAAATGGTCATATATTCATACAGTGGAATGTGATAAGAATGATTGGTTTTCCACAATACACAATAGGGATGAATTTTACAAAAATGAAGTTGAGCGAAGGAATGCAAACAAAGAAGGGGTAATAAGGTGAAGTGTAAAATCAGGCAAAAATAATCAGTGGTAACAGGCATTGGGACCGTAATAGCCTCAGGAATTTATAGTGATAGGAAAGAGACAGGAGTTTCTGTTCTATTGTTCAATCTAGGTTTAGTGTATTTGTGTCAAAGTTGTAAAAAGTTTTTTACAAAAAAATATCGTAAAACTTCATTGAGCTTATGGCTCGTGCATTTGTTAAGTGTCAGACTCTGCTGCTTCAAAGCACTTGGTACTCTCAGGCCGCTTTCAGGGATTAACAGCACAAGGTTTAAACAAACATTGAATTTTTACTTTTTCTCATGATAGCTGTGACTTTGAGCAAGTCATTTAACTTCTCCAAGCCTGTATTTTACCTGTACATAGAGTCTGACAATAATATTCATCCCACAGAATTATTTTAAAAATTTAGTTAATTTAAGGTATATAGTATGTAACATAGTGTCTGACACTAAATATACCCCCAAATGTTCAATATGATTATTAATGCATATTAAATATTTATGACGGTATCTGGCATGTAGTAAGCCATCAATGTTAATAGTGATGATTATATTAGTAGTATTAGCAAAGTGCATGCAGGAATCATTTTAACCCAAGGCCTGCCACATATTATTGTCTCTGTAAAATGGTGGGATGCTAAAATTCTAAAGAAAAGCAGGCCTATCCTTGGTCTTAAAGTTGGTGATGGCTCCAGGTTTCCTGTTTTTCTTTTTTTTTTTGAGACGGAGTCTCGCTCTGTCGCCCAGGCTGGAGTCCAGGCTGGAGTGCAGTGGCGCGATCTCAGCTCACTGCAAGCTCCGCCTCCCGGGTTCACGCCATTCTCCTGCCTCAGCCTCCCGAGTAGCTGGGACTACAGGCGCCCGCCACTACGCCCGGCTAATTTTTTTGTATTTTTAGTAGAGACGGGGTTTCACCGTGTTAGCCAGGATGGTCTCGATCTCCTGACCCCGTGATCCACCCGTCTCGGCCTCCCAAAGTGTTGGGATTACAGGCGTGAGCCACCGCGCCCAGCCGGTTTCCTGTTTTTCTAAAAGACCTGGAGATTGGAGAGGGAAAGTAAGAACAGCTCTCTGGCAGTTATCCCTGCAGTATGGGAGCATGTTGATAATAACTAAAATTGCAATTAGAGGAATTTCCTCACCGTGCCTCTGGGCATCATCACCCTGGTTTCACTACAAGAGTTTTTAGCCATCTTCAATCTGTGCCTCATTAGACAGTCAGCAGCATGTACAGTCTATGGAGACATTTGGTAAAATAAGCTTTGTGAAAAGGAGTCCGCCTTTTCCCTCCCAACCTCTTTCTACCTCTAAATTTCTGTTCCACAAGAAGCTGGGGGATGCCAATGAGGGTTTTGGGACTCGGTTTCCCATTCCATCAAAGTCCTTTTTTCCGGCAGGGCGCGGTGACTCGCCTGTAATCCCAACACTTTGGGAGGCCGAAGCGGGCGGATCACCAGGTCAGGAGATAGAGACCATCCTGGCTAACACGGTGAAACCTTGTCTCTACTAAAAATACAAAAAAAAAATTAGCCGGGCATGGTGGCACGCACCTGTAGTCCGGATACTTGGGAAGCTGAGGCAGGAGAATCGCTTGAACCCAGGAGGCAGAGGTTGCAGTGAGCCGAGATCGCACCACAGGACATTGGGAAAATGTCCTTTTTCCCAATTTATGTATGCGTGAAAAACACAGGAGACCTTTGCTGTTTCGTCACATCATAAATCATTTAGCTCTTTTTGGGTCCCCTCACTTTTCAGTAACCTGACTAGACAACCAGGTGATCCAAGACCTCAGATGCTCCACCCAAAGGCAATCATTTTATTCCCAGACACGGGAGATGCAGGAGAAGCCCACTGCTGCCTACATTGCTTTGGGATAGGACTTAACCTCTGCATAACTTGGATTACTTTTCTGGGAAAATTGGAAAATAAAAATTGCTATCTGTCCAGTTGTGGGATTGAATGAAATCCAGAGTCATGAACGTTGTGTTTCTAACTCTTCACGTTCAGACCCAAGGATTCCTTAACCAAAGTACTGTCCCATCAAACCACACCAGGAACTTTCCCAGCACAAACTCTCCAGTCTCTGTCCTCCAGGCCTTTGCTCAACAAATGTCCCTTCCCAGAGGTGCTCTTCTCTTCATGATGTGCCTGTAGAAATAAATCACTGCTTTCTAAGTCAAGCCCAAATCCATCTTTTTTATCTCAGTTAGAATTAACTTCATCTGAGCCCAGTGGTTCTCAATCCAAGGTGGATTAAGACATTTAGCATACCTAAAGACATTTCTGGTTGTCACAATTGGGACAGGTCATCTTGTGGGTAGAAGTCAGTAACACTGCTAGACATCCTGTAATGTGCAGGACAGACCCCCACAGAAGAAATAATCCAGTCCAAAATGCCAGTAGTGCTGAGGTTGAGAAATCCTGTCCTAAACTGTCATATGTGACTTAGCCAGAAACCTCTTGTGGCCTCCCCATTACCAGGGTGGTTCCCTGTGCATGTTTATCAGTCTTGAGCAGTGAGTTCCCAGAGGAGGGGGCACAACCTCATATCATCTGCTCATCTGGATGCCAACTTCAGTGCCTGTCACAGTGCTCTTCCTGCTCAGAGGCTGTGCTCAGAAGTGTTGGCTTTGTGGAACTGGAATTCTGTTTGATTTAATTGCATATTGCCAACACTCAGCTTTCTGTCCTTCCAGCTTATCCTAGGTCTACGAGTTAAAGTGGTCAGAAAAGAGATGTTTGTGTAAACTCCGATAACCAAAGGAGATATTTAAACTGCTCTCATCACTACACACCATACAAACTAAAGCTCCAGAAGTGGAAACTTTAATAAGGAATGTATTAGTCCATTCTCACACTGCTATGAAGAAATACCCTAGACTAGGTAATTTATAAAAGAAAGAGGTTTAATTGACTCACAGTTCCATGTTGCTGGAGAGGCCTCAGGTAACTTACAATCATGGTGGAAGGCACCTCTTCACAGGGAGGCAGGAGAAAGAACGAGTGCCAGCAGGGGAAATGCCAGACGCTTATAAAACCATCAGATCTCATGAAAACTCATTCACTATCATGAGAACAACATGGGGAAATCCCCCTATTATTCAATTACCTCCCACTGGGTCTCCCCCATGATGTGGGGAGATTATGGAGATTACAATTCAAGATGAGATTTGGGTGGGGACACAGCCAAATCATATCAAGGAACAAGGATGTGATTCCTCAGTGACGTTACTGGGAGCAAGGTAACTTGCTAATGGGGCTTTTGCTGTGTTGGGGTGGGAGACAGATAAAATCTTGGGCTTTATCAGGGAATAGTCAGTTTGGGGATCTGGGTGATCCTAGCCTTAGGCAGAGCATGAAAACATGCATAAGGTAACTCATGGATTATTATGGGGCACACCTGTCCTTCTCTGACTCTGCCCTGATAAACTTCTATGATCATCTGACTAAAACTTTTTACCCCCACCCAGCATATGCCGTACCAAAGGCTATGGGCGGGGGTGTGCAGGGTAAGCCTTTCCCCTTTCTCAGTGGTTCTTGCATCTCTGGGAGTCGAGGAAACATGCAATTCACCCTCAAATGCTATTTCTATGGTCCTAATCTTTTGGGATTCAGATTCCTACTCAACCTCTGTAAGGTACATGGATGTGCTTTGGTCAAGAATAGGCTGAAGTAAACATCCTGCACCACTCCGTGAGTTTGGAGCGCAGGCGCATATCGCCACTTGGTATATAACCTGTTTGTATAATCTCATACTTGGCTCAGAGCCACTATTGTTTGAAAAAGGTATAACTGCCCTGCTGACGCTATACATACAGCATGGCATGGCATGGCTCAGGCACAGTGGCTCATACTTGGAGAGAGAAAGAGTTAAACTGCTGACCCTATAGGGAGAGCTGGCCATGCAGCTGTGCATGGGAGCTGCATGAACTGCAGAGCCGGCTGCTGAGAAGGGAGCAGACAGCTGAGACAGAAACAGACCATGTGAGAGAGCTGCTGATGAGAGAGCAGCTGAATAAAGCCATCTTTCACCTGCCTATGCCGCACCCCCCCACACAACCTGAGTGTTCTTTCAGCTATCTGCCACCCATCCACCCACTCTCTTCGGAACTCAGCATGGCCTGGAACCTAACACTGGGCATGACATTTGGCATAGTCATGGCAGGACAACCTCTTATCTCTTTGATTAGATTATCTCACTTGGTTTTTCCTACATGACTGGATGATATGGGAGTCCTGGGGCGCAGCTAAGGCCTGTGAAAAATTGTGATTTTCATCCAGATCATAGGCCAGAGCTGCAATGGAGTCCTCCTGGTGCACACCCACACCAGCCAGCGCAGTATGATTAGATGGTTCTTAAAAGCATGTGGGAAAGTAGCCAAGGCTGGAACAATCAGGCATATCCACTTGGCATATGCATCTTAGGAAACACTGGTGGCTGATTGAGTGTTGATTGAGAATTGGAGATCCTGAATCTCCAGTTTTCCATTCACCTATTTTTCTATCTCTTTTCAACTTAAAGACATAAACAATATGTGGTGCAGTTGGCATAGAGAGATGAGTCTGGTCTTTCATTCGCTGATTCATTGAATATTTGCTAAGACTTACCTCATGCCAAACACCAGGCTAGGTACTGAGAACACAGTGGGTGGCCAAAGGATGTGAGGAGATGTGGTCATTGATTCGAGGGATGTTAAGGAGGTGATAGCAGCGGTCCTTGTGATAGAGGGGACATGGAAAATCAGAAAGGGGGTTGTCAAGAGTGATTCTGAGGTTCTTCAGGTTCAGAATCTGGATGGATAATGGCACCATTTACTGAGACTGAGAAAGCTAGAGGAGGTAAATCAGAAGGATGGAGGATCAGGAGGAGAGCTTGGCATGTGCTGAATTGAAGATGCTTTGGAGCCCTCCAAGGTATGATGTCGAGTGGGAACTCGGCCACATAGCTTTCTTTCTCAGGAAGGAATTCTAAGCTGGTATTGCTAAAGTTTTGGTGGTAATGGAAGACTTGGGTGCACCTGAGTTACCCTATTTTCAAACCGATTGCCAGTTAATTAAGGAGATGAGTACTATGTGGGCTCCCAATGGAAAGTAATAGGATGCTAAATGGAACAATTAAGCTGATTGGCATTCACTGATATCAGAGAGGAAAGAAACCCCAAGGGGAAGTCCTAACCATCACAAATCGCATCATTAAAAGAACTTGAAAGTCATGGATAATTTTTCACTACATTATACATCTACCTTTTAGCCCTTCAGACTGAGGCTATATTTTGCCGTTTTGTGAAGATAAAACCACAGTGATGAGAGATTGCTGTAGCTTTTCAACTCCTTGGAAAGCATCCTGATGAAGGCTAGGCATCTAAGGGCCCACAAATGCACCTGCAAAGTGTTTCTGCTTTTCATTCGTTTCTTATACATTCTGCTTCACCCATGAAATTCCATCTGAAAGGCAATGAGGAATGATGTTCTCTGTTCTGAGGCCCGGAACAAGGAGGATCAACATACTGTTGTTTCTTCACGTTAAAATTTCTCATTGGTTTACTCTAAGAGGTAAGTCTTAGCAAATATTCAATGAATCAGTGAATGAAAGTGTTTCTCTATGGGAGCAGTTTTGTCCCCCAGGATACATCTGGTAATGTCTGGAGATGTTTTTGGTTGTCATAAATTGGGGAGAGGTTGCTACTGACATCTAGTGGGTAGAAGCCAGAAATGCTGCTAAATACTCTACAGTGCACAGGACAGCTCCCACAAGGAAGAAAGGAAGAATTGTCCAGTCAAGTCTCTCCATAGTACCAAGGTTGAAGAACGCTGTTATACAAAATGGCGCCAAAATGCCAAGCTGTCACTCAAACCCTTCTGTGATCCCTCTCTCGAGGGTCAGCTCCATCTAATACTTTTGCCTTTTCATATGTTGTTCTTCAATCATTTCGATCTAGTTATAACATCTGAAACATTATGAGTATGTATATTCCATGAGAACAGGAAATTTTTCTTTTCTGTTTTGTTCATTCCTGCTGTTTAATAAATAACTGTTGAATGAGTGAGTGAATGAATACTAAGTGTAGTGCTTGCAAAGACAACTTCTCTTCCTGGAATGTTTTATTTTCTCCATGTTGAGACCTAATAAAACACTCAACACTGGAGCATCACTTCTTTGAGATGTTCCTCCCTGCCCCAGACAGCCTGTCCTACCTCTTCCACTGCACCATTTTTCACCTTTGACATCTCTCTACTTTGTTTTCATCGCACTGCACTGCAATTTATCTTATCCCATATTTATCTTCTCTATACGACTCCAAGTACCTTTAAGGCAGTGCTCCTGCCTGATTTACTATCTCCTGTACCTGTCACAGTATGTGCCACTGAAGAGATTCTCCATAAAGATTTTTTTTAATGGGTGAATGAATGATTGAGAGGATAACTAAATTCTTGCCTTGGAACAAACGCGGTGCCTGGAGGGTGGGTGAGTCACTGTAGCTAACAGTGAACACAGCGCCACCAGGTAGCGTCCCCCTCTCCGTGTGTCTGCAGGAGCCCCAGGGAGCACATAGGAACCCCCGCAGGGCCAATCAACTGCTGACTATTGTGGGCACAGTTTGGAGTTCTTGAGAATAGACATACCATAATGTATAGATTTGTAAAAGTAGGAGAAATAGAGAACGTGTGTTAAGAAAGACATTAGGTCTACGTAGAAGCAGCCAGCATGATTTCTTCACTTTTCATAGAGAGCATTTCCCAAGAGACACTTGGGGAGGAATTAATGTTTTCAGCATTGAGGTAGACACTCAGAGGTCCAGTGGAGAAGGGCCATGTGGCCAGTCACCCTGCCTCTCTGCATTTGATAAAAATAAGTCAAAATCCATGTAGGGCCAGATTGTCTGGAGGTCAAGGTAGAAGGAGCTGAGTAAAGGAACAGACAAATGAGGGCAGTGAATTAGCCCAGTGTTTGTCAGTACAGACCGCTGGTAAATACATGCTCTTCATGCGAGCCTGGTGGGAGTAGTTGATGCATTCATCCCTCAGAACTTAGGGGAACTGAACAGAGAAGCAGAGTGAGAAGTGTTGCCCCGCCCAATTGCCTCCAGCCTGTTTATTTATGGCTGGGGAAAGAAAGACAAAATTTAGTACTAGCGAAACTCAAAAGAAAAAAAAAATAGGAGAGCCCAGAGAGTTAGGATAGAAAACTGTTAACTAGAGGGACAAACAGATTTGACAGAGCCTAAGTTCTCTTGTTGAATAAATCCACAAATACTGATTGTGAAACTGTTCAAGTAAACATTGGAGACACAGAAGAATCTTGAGAGAAATTACGGAAGAAAAATTCCAGAATGTGGCCAACTCATGATGTGGGGCCATCATCCACTCTTCATTCTCTAAGGGAAGATATCTGCAAGGAAGTCAGGAGGTGACAAAGACATGTCCATGAAACAGAAGAGAGAAAGATGCTTTTCCAGGCAGAATCTGAAACCATCCGTATTTTTCTGAGAGTGCTTCTCCTAGTCAAGAGTATCATCAGATGGTTGGAGTGGGTCACTCTTCTCAGTTGTAGTGTATGACATTTTCTGGGAGACATGGTAATCTGTCTTGATATTTGCAAGTTTGAGGATGCTGGCAACCATGGAACATATTGTTTGAGAATTTTAGATTTGCAATAAGCACAGAGCCAAGCAGAGAGCCTGGCGCCTAGAGGGTGCTTCACATATGTTTTGTAGAATAAATGAATAATTTCATAACCATCATCTATTGAGCACTTATTATTCACCCACTGCTTTTCATATTTTATCTCAATAAACCCTCACAACAATTTAGCAATGTAGGTGAGTGTCTTTGTCCCAAAAGTCTACATGAGGCAACTGATTCTTAGAGGGGTTAAGTCACATGTCTGAGGTCTCACAGATACATTTTTAAAAGAGTCTGCATACAAAGCACTTGAGGTGAATGATAAATGAAGGTATGAATGAGTGAATAAATGAAAGTATGAATAAGTAAATTAATGAATGATTAAAAAACAGTCATCAGGCTTGAAGTATCACATCAGGGTCAGACACGGTGATTCCCAACTCTGCTGCACAGCAGAATCACTGTGGACATTTGAAAACATATGGTACATGGGACATTCTGATCGAATTGATTTGGGGTAAGGAGGAGCCATCAGGGTTTTTACCAGTTTCTTCATGATGATTTTAATGTACAGTCAGGTTTGAGAATTACTTGGTTAGAAGAAAGGATGGTTTTCATTGAACTCAGTTGCTTGGTGAAGGAGATAAAGCTATGATCTTATGTTGGATATTTACAAAGGCCAGGAGCATGTGTTTTTAATAATCTCACCCAGTGATTCTTATCTTCCAGCAAGTTTGGGAACCACTGCATTTAAGGTAAGGCAGCTGGTTACATATCTCTTGCTGCAGGATGGGGTTAGTCCTGGAAAGTAGCAATAGACTTGGTCTTTCCAGGAGGGCAATGGGAGGTCAGGGCCCCATGGCCCCACCTAGAGATAGAAAGAAGGAAGTCAGCTGGATGCAGAAAAGGAGTTGCACTGAAGAGGGCAATTATTTGGTGCTGTTCAAACCGACAGTCTTTAAATATTTGTTAACATTTATTCAATAGGGGCTTGAAGTGACTGATTTGCTATTAATGCAAAATGTGTGCACAAATAATGTGCTTATTTGGCTTGAACATTTTATTGCTGTGATAGCATTTTTCAAGAAGAAACATTATTCAATGAGAACATTAAGGTTTTTTATTTGTTTTTTGCTTTGAATAGCTTTGTTTTCATTTCCAACTTCCACAGGCAAGGGGCCAAATGATATAAAACAATTTATTTCCTGGATGTTTAGAGACCCTTGTGCACTATAGCTTGTCCAGCTCAAATAGCTGCCCTGCACTGTTTGGGGCATTGTGCGAGGCCCTTTAAAGGACAAATTTTAAAAAGCCGTAGACTTTCCTCTAATGGAGAAAAGTATAATTGCACAGGCACATATATTTTTAATGCAAATCTCAGAGATTCACCTTGTTCAGACACCACATTAAATGAGAACATAAACAGGTGGCTTAGGCTCACCTTGGAGCATCTTAGAGTGTGGTGTAGCAACGTTCAAGTCTGGCTCTAGGCCGGGCTCGGTGGCTCACGCCTGTAATCCCAGCACTTTGGGAGGCTGAAGCAGGCAGATCACGAGGTCCAGAGATCAAGATCATCCTGGCCAACATGGTGAAACCCCATCTCTACTAAACATACAAAAATTAGCTAGGCATGGTGGCGCACGCCTGTAGCCCTAGCTACTCGGGAGGCTGAGGCAGGAGAATCACTTGAACCCGGGAGGTGGAGCTTGCAGTAAGCTGAGATCACGCCACTGCACTCCAGCCTGGTGAGAGAGTGAGACTCCATCTCAAAAAAAAAAAAAAAAAAAAGTCGGGCTCCACTTTTGAAGGTAGACGAGTTATTCTATAAATATGTATTCTATGTCTATGCAATGCTGTGTACTTTTTTAAATGCCTTCGGTAGAGATGAACAAAACAGACAAGATGCTGGCTTTGATAAAATTTACTTTCTAGTTGGAAGAGAAGGACAGTGATTAAAAAATAAACCACAATATTCATGTGATTATGAGTGCTAGACAGAGAATAATCCCAGGGGCACAGATAATAACTTTAGGGTGGGTGGTCACACGCTTCTCTGAGGAGGTAAAGTTAAGCAGAACCTAAATATCAAAGAGGAACCTGCCATAAAATCATTCCCATGTCCCAGGCAAAGGCTCTGGGGTGGGAATGGTGTGGGTGTGTTCTGTGTGGCGGAGAGGAAAGCCAGGAAGGGTCAGAAGAGGGCACAGCAGTGCACAAGGACCAGGCCAAATATGATCCAAAAAGCTAGGATAAGGGGCTTTATTCCAACCAAAATATAAAGTCACTGGGAGTTTTTTTGTTTTTTTGTTTTTTTCTTAAGACAGAGCCTTGCTCTGTCACCAGGCTGGAGTGCAATGGCACTGCAACCTCTGCCTCCCTGGTTCAAGCTATTCTCCTCAGCCTCCTGAGTATCTGGGATTACAGGCATGTGCCACCATGCCCGGCTAATTTTTTGTATTTTTAGTAGAGACGGGGTTTCACCATGTTAATCAGGATGGTCTTGATCTCCTGACCTTGTGATCCGCCCACCTCAGCCTCCCAAAGTGCTGGGATTACAGGCGTGAGCCACTGCACCCAGCCTCACTGGAGTTTTAAAGAGGGAGTGATATGTATGACCACTTCAAGAGAATGAGTGAATTAGGTCAAGCAGGAAGGTGGAGAGAATCATTGAGAGACTCTTGCATTGATCCAAACCAACAATGATGGTAGTTTGAACTAGGATAGACCCATGAAAATGGTGAGGAGTCATTGAATTTGGGATATGTTGTGATGGAGGTGTCAGAGGACTTAATAAAGCAATGACTATGGACCAGTGAGGAGAGAGAGGCAGGAAAGGTTTCCTGGGCATTGGGCTTGCGCATCTAGATCTGTGTTGGTTCATTTACTGGAACAGTGAACACTGGAGTAGGAGCAATTTTGAGGAAGAAAGAATAAAAAATTCTGATTTTATAAACAGATAAGTATTCTGGGTAGAAGAACATGTGAAAAGCACAATTAATATTAGTGAGAAATATGCTTTGTACTAAGTATTGTGCCAAATACGTATAGTTCAGCTAAACAAATATCTACCGAATGACATCTCGCATAAACCTCCACCCAACTATGTAGTAGTTATTATTGCCCTCATTTTCTAACAGGACTCAGTAATGGTTAAGCCACTTGCTCACTCTGCCACTCAGAGAGAGAGTTAGGATTCGCCCCAGGTCTGTCTTCTTGCATAGGTTGATCAGCTCAATCTCTGCAAATGCACTCATTCAATTAGGTGCAAGACCTGTTATGTCTTTTAAAATTCATTTTACCAAATACGCTGGCAAGAACAGCAGAGTTCCTCATAGCTCTTCTGACTTAAAGAAGGGCAAATCAGAAGCTCATAAAATCTAAATTAAATACACATAACATTATGAGTTTTTTCTTTTTCTTCTTCAGACTCTTTTCAGTGACAAAGGAGATGTTGATGAAATTTATGCAGGAGATTAAGAAGACATTATTTTTTGAATTTTCCAGATGTAGAAACTTATCATCCTGCTATCCAAAATTAGTTTGAGCAATCATCATCCCCAGTGGTGATGTCAGTTGCCTTCAGAAGTCAGAATTTTATAGATTTCCAAGACTGCTTTTTCACTGCTCAACCAAATCCCACATTCCTAATCCCAACAAAAGAATTGTGATGGGGAAGATGGTGCAGGTAACAATATTAGAGCCAGAGATGCCGCCTTAGATGAATCCCCAAGCCTCTAGGAGCCTCACTTCTCTCAACTATCAATCCTTTAATACTCACAATAGCAGCCCTTACTTTGCCACCACACAAAGTTTTTGCAAGAATCAGTAGAAAGCCGCGCAGATGTGAGATTGCTTGGAAAACCAGGAAATCCTCAGATTGGAAGAAAAGGAATACCCCGCCCACCCCCACCCCCATTCTGGCCCTTCTTGTTGGCTCTACGACTTTTGGCGAGCTCCTTTTGTGAGTTGCAGATGCTTGATCTGTAACGTGGATGTAAAAGAAGGAGTGATGTAGTAGGTCAGAGAGCACCATAAAATGATCACATTTTTAGGGGCTTAAAACAACACACATCTATTATCTAACAACTTCCATGGGTCAGAAGTCAGGCATGGCCTAACAAGGCTCTCAAGCCCTCCCAAGGCTACAATCATGGTGGTGAGTGCTCTTTGTTCTCCTCTGGAGCTTAGAGTCTTTTCCCAAGGTTACATGGTTGTTGGAAATGGAGTCTCTACATCACAAGGCAGCCTGCCCCTTCCACAGTGAAAGCATAGCCCAGACTGGAACTGAGGGAGAGGAAGCCCATCTCCTCGGCTGAATGTGCCAAGATAGAACTTCTGTAACATGGACCTTGATGCGAGCAGTGAAGCAGTGTCGGGCTCAAATGTCACAGGCTTCCACTGTTCTCACTGAGAGTTAGTACATTTTCTTGAATGACTGTTTCTCCATTTTAGTATGCCCTTAGGACAACTTCCAAGACAGCCCTCACATTTTCCTCACCACCTTGACTAAACTTTAGACAGGCTTCTTCCTGCCTCTAGGACCCTTGGACTCTCTTTTCTTGGAATATTTACTTTAGAAAACTATTAATTGTGCATTATTTCTCCGAGCCCCTGTGATATAAATCTCTTACCAAGCCTTTTGTCAGTTTCACAACCCAGAACTGTCTATCTCCGGACCCTGGGAACCATCTCTTTGCAACACAATCGTCACAGAAGTACCGTCCCTTTCTCCCAGCCTCTGCTACAAGGTGGGAGCCTGACTTTGGTGAGTGCATTGCTCCAAGTTGTTGGACTCCCTCCTGTCATAAGGTGAAAATGTTTACTTTTCTTGAGTAAAATCAATTGACAAACACAGATGGCCCATGATCTCCTTCACACTCCAGCACTTGAAGTCCTTCCTGCCTTTTGTTTCAGCAAAGTTCAGCTCTGACTGAGTCCTGGCCTCGCTCCTCTATTGCAATGGCCTTGAATAAACTCTTTCTTCCCTACTTAATTTGGTGCAAATTTGTTTTTGAAATTCTGATGATTTTTTAAAATAATTCTCACCAGAGAAGTTGTGGTTGTGCTGGGGATAAAGTCCACTGAGCTCCTTACTCATCATTCCAGAAGTCTCCACTCTTGGGATGCGACGTGCACACTTGACTGAGGGAGTCTCCAAGATTGTTTAGCCCCCCTCCATCCTCAACGCCTAGCACAAAGTAGGTTCATAGTAGACAGTGAATGAATGAATAATAACAACACATACAATTCATGATCCAGACACTGTGCTGGGTTCTGGGAGATTTAACGGTAAGCAAAAGAATCAGAGCTTACACCAGGCTGGGTCATGATTGTGCTCAGATCTCAGCAGAAACTTAGATGATTTTCCCTAAGAGCAATGAGAAGCCATTAAAGATTTTTTTTTTTTAACAGGAGGTGATGTTTTTCATGTATATCTTTAAATGATGTCTGTGAAATGAGCTTTTTTTATAAATGCAAGGACAGATTTTATTTTCCCTTGATGTTCTGAGCCCAAGATCCATTTCCAATTACTCTGACTCATCTTTAATTACCATCCTCCATGCAGGCGGAGAAGCCTCCATGGGCCCCATGGAGTGGGCAGAAGTGAGGGCAAGGTGGAAAAGGGCATGGGAAAGGAAACATGGCCAAAAGCTTTTTCCGTTTCACTTATTGGAAAATATATTATTGGGGGAAATGAAGATGATATGAAGCCAAAAAGCAAATATTAACGTTCAACCTACATGCCCAGGGTTTAATGAGAATTAGTCTAACAACTGGTGTCAATTTAAAAGGACTTAGAGAGCCTACTGATTAAAATATGAGGAAAAGTTATTCTGTTCCTGAGCCAGACATAAGTTTTGTTTTGTTTGTTTCGGTTTTTTGTTTTTTTTGGCGGAGGGGATATCATTTTTTTTTTTTTTTTTTATGAGATGGGTAGAGGAAAGGAGATTCGGAACAAAAGCAACCCCCAGCCTCCTGATGGAGAAGCAAGAGTAAAACCTCCTGGCTTAGAAGCTGTTAATAAATACCACACATATATACAAAGGGACGCAGGGAGTGGTGCTACCAGTATGGGGCTGGGGGCAAATCTCCTGGTATCCTGTAGATTAGGTCACTGAACCGTGTGTCCTGGAGCAACTGAGGTGCCCTTTCTGAGCCTCAGTTTTCTCATTGGTAAAATAAAGTGATTGAACTGATGATTTTAAGGGGAACTACCAGCTCTAAAAACACCAATGTCTCTGTAGTCTAAGGAAAGAAGGAATTGATATTAGTGTTGCTGAACAGAGCAGATCTTCAGGAAACTTTAGTCAATTATTTTTACCTTTGGAAACAGTGAGTAGTAGGTCATTTCCCTCCATGACCCTGCCATTTCTCTCCCTACACCCCATCTGTCAAATGACTATGCCTGTAATATTCTCTTTGGAATAAGCTAATTCATTGAAATAAAAGTAAATAAAGAGGAACAATAAAAAGATAACAGAGGGGAATTGATGCTGGCAGTGTGGTATTTCTCTAAGAACAAAGACTTTGGCCCAGACTCCCTGACGTTAAGTGCTGGTGTCCTGGTCTCCCTGTCAGCTGTGTGTTGTCGGCAAATTACTCTCCAAGTTTCTGTTTCTGCATCAATAAAATGGAAGTAATATTCATACGTATTTCATGGGGTTTTGAGGACTATATGGCATGATGCCTGTGTTTAAAGAAATAGACTAAGAGAGTGAAACAAGAATGGTATTGATAGAAATTTTACTAGCAACAGGAGGCCCCATCCCTTCAGGAACCAAAGCCCTGGGAGATCAGAGTCAGTGGGGGAGAAGTAGAATACATTCTTTAAAACTAAAGTCCCTGCATGCTACCTTTGATCCACTTTAGCAAAGCACCAATCTCTTAGTGTTGTTGGTTACCTAGCCATGTCTGGGCTGATTATTTGACAGGCACTGGGCCAGCAATTGCATGCACCAGGCGTCCCACCGGGGATTTTGGTATCCAACTGCCTTTGACTGGTTAGAGATGGGTTTGTGGTGCTACGTCAGCTTTTCACCATTTTCAGCAAGCTGTGTCACATGCATGGTGCTAGGCAGAGTTCTTAGCATGTAATAATATCAGTTTTTATAACTAATATCACTTAAAAATGTACACACAATAAAAACACTCAACACTAGATCATAGTTGTTCTTAGAATTATGCAATGTGCCCTGACAGTCCCCTGCTCTAGCGGCTGGCATTCAGCCTGCTCCCATATGGCCATCAGAATTGACCCAGCAATGGTCAGACTGATGCCATCCATCATGTCCTAAGCTTTTAGCGTCGATTTGCTGTGCACTTTAGAGTTTTATTGCATATTAAGCATTTTATTGCATAAGCTCTGTAACGTGGATTTGCGACCTATAATATCCATTCACTCGTCCTATTCCAGTTCAGAAAATTGTGCTTATGATGCTCTTCTAATTTCACATGCAGCCAGGACCTACCCCAAAGCCTCCCTCCTCCCTCAGCATAAGGCAGCCCTCGTCAGTCCCCAGACGCATTCCTGCACACCTGTACCCGTGCCTTTGCACAGGCTGTTTGCTTTGCCTGCTCCTCCTCCCTCCATCCTCTATCTGGAAAACTCTGGATCTTTGTTCACAATCCAGCCAAATCTCCCCCTCATTATAACTCCCCCACCCCACCTCCCCTAAGCATCATTGCTCCTTGCCTCTATATCCCTAGAGCTCTTTGCACATTATATCACCTTGCATTATCTTTGGGTCCCAGTTTCTCTACAGGAATAATGGGAAAGTAACAAAGAAGCATTCATATTTACAGAATAGCTCAAGAGGCAAGAATGTCAACAATGTTTCACACATGTAAAGACTTTGGAGACTTGTCTGAGTAGGGAATGATGTTCAGGGGAGTCTGGAGGGCGTCCTCCTAAGGCACAGTAGTTTTCTGAGTCTGCAGATGGAGACTCCAGTTCCCTCAAGTGGGGGTGGAGACAGGGGAAGGGGTTACAATGTGTCTTTGTTTACACAAGCACAAAACTGTTGCTCACCCATCCTCAGTGTTAATACAATGCCAAGCTGGCAACTGTTTTGCAAAGTTGACAGCTGTCTGTGAGGTTTGAATGAAATAGTATTTTACGCAATATTTTTAATGGGCGGGGGGGGGGTGGGCATTGCAGACCTAAAAGGGGTAGATTTGGGGGATAAATTTGCCTTACCTGCTTATTTCTATGCAAATGTCTGTCTTTTTTCATTCTCTGACTCTGTCCATGATCTTGGAGCAACTGGATCAGGCAACCTTAGCACCCCTCCGGGAATCCCATGGGGACAGATTAGCAGAGGCCTCCAAGAGAAAAGTAAAGGACAAAGAGGGCCGAGGTCATTGGCTAAGAAATGTGGATCTGGGTTTCCCTGAAACTGTGTAAGATACACAGGGCAGACAGAGTTATTGCTACTGTTTTATAGATAAGAAAAGTGAAGAAAGGTTGATTTAAAGGGGTTGATCAATAATATTATTGGGACCAGCATGGTGTGGACTGTGACACAGATAAAGAATATTACAGAGAAGAGAGAGGAAAAAAGAAATCCAATTCTGGTCAGCTGGGAGAACTTCCTGGAGTACATAGTATAACAAAAATCAATCACCCTTCTTCATTTATTGTTTGTTGTCAATGTATAACTCCCTCACTAGAATATAAGTTTCATCAAAGCAGGGATCTTTTCTGTTTGGGCAACCGATCATCTCAAGTGCTTATAACACAGCCTGGGACATTATAGGTTCTCAATAAATATTTGTTTATTGAAAGAATAAATGGTTCCCACAGAACTCCTGTGGATTACATCATTGCCCCTACAGACAGCAACAGAGTTCTCTTTAAATGCAACTATTGAATACCATCTTTCAGAGGAGAACCTGCACATCTCTTTCTAAGGAGGCAACTTTCTAGCTGGTAACTGAATAAAAAGCCAGAATCAGGTAAGGGGGGCATGCTATTCCTACACGGAGTCCCATTCCTAGACCGATGGCTGGCACACAATATCCCTCAGTAACAGTTTGAGGATTGAACTGGAGTAAATTCATTCATCATGCTAATCCTAGCTAAAAATTCTAAGACATCATGCTGCACCTCGCTGATTCTAACTTCTTAACTTCCATGCTCCTCTCTTGTATCCAAAGAACAAATCCCAAATGATACAATTTGGCTGTGTCCCCACCCAAATCTCACCTTGAATTGTAGCCTCCATAATTCCAACATGTTGCGGGAGGTAATTGAATCAAGGGGGCGGTTTCCCCCATGCTGTTCTCGTGGTAGTGAATAAGTCTCATGAGATATGACAGTTTTCTAAATGGGAGTTTCCCTGCACAAAGCTCTCTTGCCTGCCATCCGTGCCTTTGCTCCTCACCTGCCTTCCACCATGATTGTGAGGCCTCCCCAGCCATGTGGAACTGTGAGTCAATTAAACCTCTTTCCTTGATCAATTACCCAGTCCCGGTATGTCTTTATTAGCAGTGTAAGAACGGACTAACACACCGTCTTCTCTTTTTCTGGCTCAAATTCCAAGCAGAGAGCGTTAGGAAGCAGGAGCTCCAGTCCTCTGAACTTCCGTGAGAGTTCCGCTATTTGCTGGGCTTTGGGCGCCCTCTGCAGGCCCTGTGAATTCCTGTCTCTGCCCCAGGCATAAAACCCAGGGAGGCTCTCCCTGTAGGTTACATTTCCAGCCATAGGCTGCAATAGTGTGTTTCCCTTGGGTGGAAGAGGTGGATAATCAGACAGCACTGGAGAGGATCCCTGTGCTTAGTTAGATAGAACCAGTTCAAGACGGATGCTTCAGGTAGGGAGGTGGGGGTGTGCTCTAGCAAAAAGGAACTCGGGCTTAGGGATTTGTTAGCCAATATTCACTTACTGTGAGTCAGACACGTTTTCATTCATTCATTCATCATCACATTTTTAATAGATGGCCTAAGTGCCAGGGCACTGGAATTCAGAAGTGGAAAGCAGGCCACAAAAACAAAACAAACCGCCTGCCTTCATGGAGCCATGGAGCCGGCACCCTAGAGAGGAAAGACCAACAACCAATAAGATGAATAAGACAGGTAGTAAGGTGGACGGTGGTAAATGCCAAGGAGAAAAGATGAAGCGGGAAGAAGGCTCTGAAGCTTCTGGGGCAGAGATGGGGAGCAGTGAGATGTTTTATCAGAGGTTCAGGAAAATCCTGGCTGAGAAGGACTGTGAAATGAAGATCAGAATACAGAGGAGTGTGCCTTGCTGCTCCCTGGAGGAGGAGCATCCAGGAGAGGGAACTGCCGTGAAAATGCCTTGAGGCAGTAGCACGCTCAGGTGCTCAAGGACCAGCAAACAAGCTCCATGCCTGGACAGGAGAAGATGAAGAGGAAGTAGGAGGGGCACAGGAGAATGAGGTAGATTAGGTGGGAGAAGTTACAAGGGGTCAGTTGAATCCAGGTCTGGCTGACAATGATGTAGGGAAGATGAAGAGCCTCAGAGATCAACCCAAGCTCCATTGTGAAGTCCAGTTGCTGGAGCACAATCCCCTCAGCTGTAAGATGTGGATCACGACACTGGCTTGTAGGATTAAGAAAGTGCCTGGCCTGCTGTCTTGCACCTCTTTGCCCCTGCACACATCCTTGCATGTCACGTTTACTCAGTGACTTAAGGATTTCTAAAACAGAAGGCCTGAGGCAAATTGTGGAATTGGTTCAAAGTGTCCCTCACATCTGCCCTCCATGCACTCGGTGCTTAGGGCCCTCCTACTTCCCCATCAAGACCTATTGTCCTTCCCTGGGGATGCTGTTTGTAGGCAGCAGCCACTATAAAAGTAACTTCGACTGCATCTCCATGAACATTTGAATGGAAAACACTACTAGACCTAGAGAGAAGATTGGAGAGGGAATGCTGGTGTTGTCCATTTACTGGTAACACAATCTTGGTCAAACACTTAAACTCTGCACCTCACCCATCAGATGGGCTTGGCTCACAGAGCTTGGTAAGGACCTAAGAGGAGAATCAGCACATGCATCATTTGTCACCTGTGATAACAGCACAGTGTGTCTTTATGCAGCACTTTATACATCAATTTCAGGTTCTGTAGACTCTCAAAATATTTGGATAAGATTAGAGCCACCTTTAAGTCTTTTTGTCCATAATTGTCTTGGAAATAGGGGATTGATTTCTTAAGCTTCCCTGAATCTCAGATTGTCTCTGTCTAAATTTGGGGAAACAATATTTGCCTTCTCTATTTCACAAACTAGACTGAAACACGTATGTAAACGGCTTTAAAAAAAAACTTAAGTTGGGAGGAGCCAAGATGGCCAAATAGGAACAGCTCCAGTCTACAGCTCCCAGCCTGAGCGTCGCAGAAGACGGGTGATTTCTGCATTTCCATCTGAGGTACCGGGTTCATCTCACTAGGGAGTGCCAGACAGTGGGCACAGGTCAGTGGGTGCGTGCACCGTGCGCGAGCCGAAGCAGGGCGAGGCATTGCCTCACTCGGGAAGCGCAAGGGGTCAGGGAGTTCCCTTTCCTAATCAAAGAAAGGGGTGATGGACAGCACCTGGAAAATCGGGTCACTCCCACCCGAATACTGCGTTTTTCCGACGGGCTTAAAAAACGGCGCACCACAAGATTATATCCCGCACCTGGCTGGGAGGGTCCTACCCCACGGAGTCTCGCTGATTGCTAGCACAGCAGTCTGAGATCAAACTGCAAGGCGGCAGCGAGGCTGGGGGAGGGGCGCCCGCCATTGCCCAGGCTTGATTAGGTAAACAAAGCAGCGGGGAAGCTCGAACTGGGCAGAGCCCACCACAGCTCAAGGAGGCCTGCCTGCCTCTGTAGGCTCCACCTCTGGGGGCAGGGCACAGACAAACAAAAAGACAGCAGTAACTTCTGCAGACTTAAATGTCCCTGTCTGACAGCTTTGAAGAGAGCAGGGGTTCTCCCAGTACGCAGCTGGAGATCTGAGAACGGGCAGACTGCCTCCTCAAGTGGGTCCCTGACCCCTGACCCCTGAGCAGCCTGATTGGGAGGCACCCTCCAGCAGGGGCACACTGACACCTCACACGGCAGGGTACTCCAACAGACCTGCAGCTGAGGGTCCTCTCTGTTAGAAGGAAAACTAACAAACAGAAAGGACATCCACACCAAAAACCCATCTGTACATCACCATCATCAAAGACCAAAAGTAGATAAAACCACAAAGATGGGGAAAAAACAGAGCAGAAAAACTGGAAACTCTAAAAATCAGAGCGCCTCTCCTCCTCCAAAGGAACACAGCTCCTCACCAGCAACAGAACAAAGCTGGACGGAGAATGACTTTGATGAGCTGAGAGAAGAAGGCTTCAGACGATCAAATTACTCTGAGCTACGGGAGGACATTCAAACCAAAGGCAAAGAAGTTGAAAACTTTGAAAAAAATTCAGAAGAATGTATAACTAGAATAACCAATACAGAGAAGTGCTTAAAGGAGCTGATGGAGCTGAAAACCAAGGCTCGAGAACTACATGAAGAATGCAGAAGTCTCAGGAGCTGATGCGATCAACTGGAAGAAAGGGTATCAGCCATGGAAGATGAAATGAATGAAATGAAGCGAGAAGGAAAGTATAGAGAACAAACAATAAAAAGAAACAAGCAAAGCCTCCAAGAAATATGGGACTATGTGAAAAGACCAAATCTACCTCTGATTCGTGTACCTGAAAATGATGGGGAGAATGGAACCAAGTTGGAAAACACTCTGCAGGATATTATCCAGCAGAATTTCCCCAATCTAGCAAGGCAGGCCAACGTTCAGATTCAGGAAATACAGAGAACGCCACAAAGATACTCCTCGAGAAGAGCAACTCCAAGACACATAATTGTCAGATTCAGCAAAGTTGAAATGAAGGAAAAAATGTTAAGGGCAGCCAGAGAGAAAGGTCGGGTTACCCTCAAAGGGAAGCCCATCAGACTAACAGCGGATCTCTCAGCAGAAACCCTACAAGCCAGAAGAGAGTGGGGACCAATATTCAACATTCTTAAAGAAAAGAATTTTCAACCCAGAATTTCATATCCAGCCAAAGTAAGCTTCATAAGTGAAGGAGAAATAAAATCCTTTACGGACAAGCAAATGCTGAGAGATTTTGTCACCACCAGGCCTGCCCTAAAAGAGCTCCTGAAGGAAGCGCTAAACATGGAAAGGAACAACCAGTACCAGCCACTGCAAATTCATGCCAAAATGTAAAGACCATCAAGACTAGGAAGAAACTGCATCAACTAACGAGCAAAATAACCAGCTAACATCATAATGACAGGATCAAATTCGCACATAACACTATTAACTTTAAATGTAAATGGACTAAATGCTTCAATTAAAAGACACAGACTGGCAAATTGGATAAAGAGTCAAGACCCATCAGTGTGCTGTATTCAGGAAATCCATCTCACGTGCAGGGACACACATAGGCTCCAAATAAAGGGATGGAGGAAGATCTACCAAGCAAATGGAAAACAAAAAAAGGCAGGGGTTGCAATCCTAGTCTCTGATAAAACAGACTTTAAACCAACAAAGATCAAAAGAGACAAAGAAGGCTGTTACATAATGGTAAAGGGATCAATTCAACAAGAAGAGCTAACTATCCTAAATAGATATGCACCCAATACAGGAGCACCCAGATTCATAAAGCAAGTCCTGAGTGACCTACAAAGAGACTTAGACTCCCACACATTAATAATGGGAGACTTTAACACCCCACTGTCAACATTAGACAGATCAACGAGACAGACAGTCAACAAGGATACCCAGGAATTGAACTCAGCTCTGCACCAAGCGGACCTAATAGACATCTACAGAACTCTCCACCCCAAATCAACAGAATATACATTTTTTTCAGCACCACGCCACACCTATTCCAAAATTGACCACATGCTTGGAAGTAAAGCTCTCCTCAGCAAATGTAAAAGAACAGACATTATAACAAACTATCTCTCAGACCACAGTGCAATCAAACTAGAACTCAGGATTAAGAATCTCACTCAAAACCGCTCAACTACATGGAAACTGAACAACCTGCTCCTGAATGACTACTGGGTACATAATGAAATGAAGGCAGAAATAAAGATGTTCTTTGAAGCCAACGAGAACAAAGACACAACATACCAGAATCTCTGGGACGCATTCAAAGCAGTGTGTAGAGGGAAATTTATAGCACTAAATGCCCACAAGAGAAAGCAGGAAAGATCTAAAATTGACACCCTAACATCACAATTAAAAGAACTAGAAAAGCAAGAGCAAACACATTCAAAAGCTAGCAGAAGGCAAGAAATAACTAAAATCAGAGCAGAACTGAAGGAAATCGAGACACAAAAAACCCTTCAAAAAATTAATGAATCCAGGAGCTGGTTTTTTGAAGGGATCAACAAAATTGATAGACCACTAGCAAGACTAATAAAGAAAAAAAGAGAGAAGAATCAAACAGATGCAATAAAAAATGATAAAGGGGATATCACCACCGATCCCACAGAAATACAAACTACCATCAGAGAATACTACAAACACCTCTACGCAAATAAACTAGAAAATCTAGAAGAAATGGATAAATTCCTCGACACATACACCCTCCCAAGACTAAACCAGGAAGAATTTGAATCTCTGAATAGACTAATAACAGGATCTGAAATTGTGGCAATAATCAATAGCTTACCAACCAAAAAGAGTCCAGGACCAGATGGATTCACAGCCGAATTCTACCACTGGTACAAGGAGGAACTGGTACCATTCCTTCTGAAACTATCCCAATCAATAGAAAAAGAGGGAATCCTCCCTAACTTATTTTATGAGGCCAGCATCATTCTGATACCAAAGCCGGGCAGAGACACAACGATAAAAGAGAATTTTAGACCAATATCCTTGATGAACATTGATGCAAAAATCCTCAATAAAATACTGGCAAACAGAATCCAGCAGCACATCAAAAAGCTTATCCACCATGATCAAGTGGGCTTCATCCCTGGGATGCAAGGCTGGTTTAATATACGCAAATCCATAAATGTAATCCATCATATAAACAGAGCCAAAGACAAAAACCACACGATTATCTCAATAGATGCAGAAAAGGTCTTTGACAAAATTCAACAACCCTTCATGCTAAAAACTCTCAATAAATTAGGTATTGATGGGACATATTTCAAAATAATAAGAACTATCTATGACAAACCCATAGCCAATATCATACTGAATGGGCAAAAACTGGAAGCATTCCCTTTGAAAACTGGCACAAGACAGGGATGCCCTCTCTCACCACTCCTATTCAACATAGTGTTGGAAGTTCTGGCCAGGGCAATTAGGCAGGAGAAGGAAATAAAGGGTATTCAATTAGGAAAAGAGGAAGTCAAATTGTCCCTGTTTGCAGACGACATGATTGTATATCTAGAAAACCCCATTGTCTCAGCCCAAAATCTCCTTAAGCCGATAAGCAACTGCAGCAAAGTCTCAAGATACAAAATCAATGTGCAAAAATCACAAGCATTCCTATACACCAACAACAGACAAACAGAGAGCCAAATCATGAGTGAACTCCCATTCACAATTGCTTCAAAGAGAATAAAATACCTAGGAATCCAACTTACAAGGGATGTGAAGGACCTCTTCAAGGAGAACTACAAACCACTGCTCAAGGAAATAAAAGAGGATACAAACAAATGGAAGAACATTCCATGCTTATGGATAGGAAGAATCAATATTGTGAAAATGGCCATACTGCCCAAGGTAATTTACAGATTCAATGCCATCCCCATCAAGCTACCAATGCCTTTCTTCACAGAATTGGAAAAAACTACTTTAAAGTTCATAGGGAACCAAAAAAGAGCCCGCATCACCAAGTCAATCCTAAGCCAAAAGAACAAAGCTGGAGGCATCACGCTACCTGACTTCAAACTATACTACAAGGCTACAGTAACCAAAACAGCATGGTACTGGTACCAAAACAGAGATACAGATCAACGGAACAGAACAGAGCCCTCAGAAATAATGCCGCATATCTACAACTATCTGATCTTTGACAAACCTGAGAAAAACAAGCATTGGGGAAAGGATTCCCCATTTAATAAATGGTGCTGGGAAAACTGGCTAGCCATATGCAGAAAGCTGAAAATGGATCCCTTCCTTACACCTTATACAAAAATCAATTCATGATGGGTTAAAGACTTAAACGTTAGACCTAAAACCATAAAAACCCTAGAAGAAAACCTAGGCATTACCATTCAGGACATAGGCATGGGCAAGGACTTCATGACTAAAACACCAAAAGCAATGGCAACAAAAGACAAAATTGACAAATGGGATCTAATTAAACTAACGAGCTTCTGCACAGCAAAAGAAACTACCATCAAAGTGAACAGGCAACCTACAAAATGGGAGAAAATTTTCGCAACCTACTCATCTGACAAAGGGCTAATATCCAGAATCTACAATGAACTCAAACAAATTTAAAGAAAAAAACAAACAACCCCATCAACAAGTGGGTGAAGGATATGAACAGACACTTCTCTAAAGAAGACATTTATGCAGCCAAAAAACACATGAAAAAATGCTCATCATCACTGGCCATTGAGAAATGCAAATCAAAACCACAATGAGATACCATCTCACACCAGTTAGAATGGCAATCATTAAAAAGTCAGGAAACAACAGGTGCTGGAGAGGATGTGGAGAAATAGGAACACTTTTACACTGTTGGTGGGACTCTAAACTAGTTCAACCATTGTGGAAGTCAGTGTGGTGATTCCTCAGGGATCTAGAACTAGAAATACCATTTGACCCAGCCATCCCATTACTGCGTATATACCCAAAGGACTATAAATCATGCTGCTATAAAGACACATGCACACGTATGTTTATTGCAGCATTATTCACAATAGCAAAAACTTGGAACCAACCCAAATGTCCAACAATGATAGACTGGATTAAGAAAATGTGGCACATATACACCATGGAATACTATGCAGCCATAAAAAATGATGAGTTCATGTCCTTTGTAGGGACATGGATGAAATTGGAAATCATCATTCTCAGTAAACTATCGCAAGAACAAAAAACCAAACACCGCATATTCTCACTCATAGGTGGGAATTGAACAATGAGATCACATGGACACAGGAAGGGGAACATCACACTCTGGGGACTGTTGTGGGGTGGGGGAGGGGGGAGGGATAGCATTGGGAGATATACCTAATGCTAAATGATGAGTTTGTGGGTGCAGTACACCAGCATGGCACATGTATACGTATGTAACTAACCTGCACAATGTGCACGTGTACCCTAAAACTTAAAGTATAATTAAAAAAACAAATTAAAAAAAAAAGAGAAAAAGAAAAAAAAAAAACTTAAAATGGGTAAGTATATGTGTTTAAACAGACAGTTTGAGCTACCACCTTTTACTGTAATTCACATGATTTTGAACTCTCCTTGTTCGAGAACCCTACATATCACTCAGATACAAAATCCTTGGTGCCACTGAGAAGACACAGGACTATGGTTTCTCGTGATCTCACAGAGACAGAAGTTAGGGATCTAAGGAAGCTGCAGGGGCCAGTCACCTCATTGCCCCCTCTGCAGTCGGAGCCACCTCTCACTAGCTCCCTGCTTCCACTTGACAGTGACTCAGACACATGTTCAGATTGATTACCTTTTGCTCCTCCTACTACACAAACCTGATGCTCACTGCATTCTCCAGTTTAGCTTCTGGAGATATCCTTAAGAGTGTGGCCAGTTTTCTCCATTCCTGTTCTACCTGTCTGTCTATCACAGGTCATTGACTGGTCTATGGAAGCTCTGCGCATGGCTCAGTTACCCATCCCTGGTCCTATGAGCTACAGTCAGTGGAGGTAGGGTCAAGTGATGTAGACACCATGCCACAGGGACAGACAGAATAGCCCAGGGCCTCCTTTCCTAGCAGGGGTTGTAATCATGGGTGGTTTCTATTGGAAATGGGCAGTGGACAGATGCTCATCATGACTGGCCTTTCAGGACAGCGGGAAACAATGTATTAGACATTCCCATTGCGTGCTTCTTCCAGTCAACTAGACACATTCAGCAAAGCCACTATCTAGAGACCAGAGCCTATTCTTCCAGGTGCACTTTGGATGAGCAGCTTTGATTGTTAGAAACTCCGAGTAATCAGGGTGCACTGAATATAGAGATGAAGACCAGGTCTTTAGTTTACTAAATGACACATCCCATTCCCTGACCCAATCCTCCAAGGGTCCGGTTACGAGTTCTCTCCGATTCTGTCAGCCACTCCAGGATACCCCAGATCCTTTCTCTCTCTCTCTCTCTCTCTCTCTCTCTCTACATATATATATATATATATATATATATTTATTTATTTATTTATATTTATTATACTTTAAGTTCTACGGTACATGTGCACAACGTGCAGGTTTGTTACATATGTATACATGTGCCATGTTGGTGTGCTGCACCCATTAACTCGTCATTTACATTAGGTATACCTCCTAATGCTATCCCTCCCCCTCCCCCCACCCCACAACAGGCCCCGGTGTGTGATGTTCTCATTGCTGTGTCCAAGTGTTCTCATTGTTCAATTCCCACCTATGATTGAGAACTTGTGGTGTTTGTTTTTTTGTCCTTGTGATAGTTTGCTGAGAATGACGGTTTCCAGCTTCATCCATGTCCCTACAAAGGACATGAACTCATCGTTTTTTATGGCTGCATAGTATTCCATGTTGTATATGTGCCATATTTTCTTAATCCAGTCTATCATTGTTGGACATTTGGGTTGCTTCCAAGTCTTTGCTACCAGTTAGAATGGCGATCATTAAAAAGTCAGGATACCCCAGGTCCTTTCTAAAGGGTGCCTCCCAAAAATAACAGCCATGTGCCATGTATCCTCTGACGAAATGTCGAAATAACTCCTTCAGCCCTGACTGCACTCCTAGAGTGGCTACTGTGCATTCCATAAACACAAGGTCTTGGCAAAAGAAAGTCAAAGGATTTTCTTTTATTGTTGTTGTTTGTCACTAATACACATCACAAGTAACACGAAATGCCAACCAAAAAACAAATGTAGAAAAATAGTAGAATTGTATTGGCACTAATGACTTTGTAATTACTATAGTGGCTGTTTTACCGACAATTTGCAAGAGTGCAGGAGATTGTAATTATTGTATACAGATATTGTCACCAGAATACGCATTAGGATTCACAGTGGCATCAAGCTATACATTGTTTCTTTTTCAGATAAAGAGACCATGACAAAAGACCCTGCCTCTCTTTGCCTTCTACAATGTAGGAGGTCACATTTGAAAATAAAAATAAAATAATAGAAATTACACAGCCCTGCCCTGTGTGATCAATAAACAGAAGCCACAGGCTGGTCCCCTTGGCCAAGTCTAAGCATGGGCATGCTTATGGACACTATTGGTGTGCCTTTTATTCAATAATCTGGTTTTGTCTATTAATTTGGAAAAATGTAAAGGTTGTTTACTGAGTATCCAGACTTTGTATTACAGACAGGAGGAGGTGCTTCTTGACGAACTGGTTTGTAATCTGCCCCTGTCACCTTCTGTTTTTATACATTCCCTATCTTGGCACTGATCTAGGGATGGCCCAATGGAGCATTGAAATCCTACACGAATGGTGTGGCTGATGTCATGGCAGCATCGCATCTGGACTGGATTTCTGCTTCCAGACCCAGATGAGAAGCCCAAACCCCAATACCAGGGATGTGATTTGCTTTTATCGATATCAGGATGATATTAGTCTCAATGTTTCCCGCTTGCTCTCTTGCCTCATTAATCTATCCTGCACTATGAATGCAGCCATCCTCTCCCCCAACTAGATTATAAATTATTGAATAGCAAAGTCACATCTAATTAATTTCTGTAACCACCAATGCTTAGCACAGAGCTAAGCAGAGACTAAACGTTTTAAAAACTAAATGTATTTAATATGAGTTATGGGAAAATTGTAAATGAAAATCAAATCACAGACTTTCATGTTAAGTTGTATGTAGAGAAGATAGCATTTGGGGATCAAGTGAAGTCTACTATTTAAAAGGAAATATATGTGTGTGTGTATATATATATATATGCAAAGATATAGGAATAGGTTATCAGATGCACCTTGATTATTATTCAGTTTTCTTTCTCAGGGCAAGAAAAATAAGCAGGGTATTTTGCCATATGCAATAAGTTTAACCTTGGGCTAAAGGACATTTCAATATGTCTTTGCAGTTTGATGCAATACAAAGGATTCTGAGTGACATTTACAGAATTAAATCTTTCAAACACCTTAAATTAGATGTAATACTGCTCTCAGCTATGTGTCAAGCTGCAGCCTTTCCTCAACTCTCAACAATGGTGTACAATATACCCTAAACAGAAAAATAGTTTTATGACATAGATCATTCAATAATGCACTGAATAGACCTGAAAACGTCCAGTCTGGAAGCTTGTGGAGTCACAGTGGAATGTTCTGATGGAAGCTTAAGGCTAAAGTTTCAAACCAAGTAATCTTCCTTAAGCCATCATGTATGAATCACTTTAAAGCCATGTAAGAAATCTCTTAATGTGTTTATTTCAAAGATACTTCCCTATAACCAACCTTTTGCTATAAAACATTCCCAAGCCACTCACCAAGCTTTTCAATGCTCACTCTGTAAAAGGCATTGTTCCAGATCTCTACTTTTCCTATGTTGTTTGCACCCCTGAACTACCTTTCAATTAGGTATTTCCAAGCCTTTCCAAGGAAACTGAGGCCTAAAGATAGAATGATGCTTCCCACTACACGAAATTCCACTGTGATGTCTGAAGAAACTCCTCTTCTCTTGCAAATTCAGAAGCTTAGAGAGTAAACACGAGCCAATGTCAAACTCTGCATTAGCAACAGTTGCTGTGGATGACATGAGGGGCTGGAAAGAAAACATGAGCTTTCAAAGGACTGACCCTTTCAGCAAAGACACATTGAACACCCACTCTGTGTCAGGCAGCGTGTGCAGGATCAGGTGTACTGGAAGAATTAGACATGGTTTCTGCCCTTGAGGAAAAAATATTCGTATGTGAGAGATCTATAGAGACACAGATAAAAATGTGATGAGAAATGAGAAAAGAGTGGGCTTATGGGAACGTGAGAAAACCTAGCTCTGATGGCAAGGCACTGAGCTCAAATTCATCCGGAAGCAGGAATCTGCAATCTAGGAACCATTTATTGTAGATTCAAACCCTATGGTAAAGGGAATGAATCCTGGATGAATACGATCAGGCACTGCAACGTGAGAGTTGCAGAAGGAGATAATGTATGGAAGGAAGAACATGGCCTGGGACAGCTGTGGAAAGAAAGGTGTGTGGTTTTGGAAAAGGAACTCCAGGTTACTAGGAGAAAAGAGAATCTTGAGAAACATAAATGATCAGCAAAGAATGCAACAGTTCATCCAACTACACTGTTGACAATGCTTTATATAACTACCTTTGCCACTAAGTTTTTCTTGCTGTTTAATTTATTGGTTATGTAGATGTCTCATATAAGAATATATTATAATAGAAGGCTCAAAAGGTTATGGTTTAGGAGATGTGGACTTGAACTCTGGCTTTGATTTTCACAAGACATGTGACTTTTACAATTAAGTAACTCTCTGGGTTGGAAAAATCATAGAATAAAAGATAAAATGAAGGCTAGAAGTTCAAATCTTGACTCTACCACTGCTAAACTGTGTAATTGTAGGCAAGTTACTTGACTTCTCCCAGCATCATTTATATGTTGTGTGGGATTAAATGAAACTATATATGCAAAAATCTAACCAACAAATTTGAATATTGTAAATTATTTCCATTTTTGTTCTTCTTCATTTGTTAAAAGTTAGATGGACAAGAGTCCATGTTTGTTTTAGTTGTAAAAGTTTCTGATTCTGTGATGACACAAAGTTTGAGGTTTGAGGACTGTTTTTCTAAAGTACTGTAATCACAACTACATCTATGAAACAATGATACACACAGTCTTTATAATTTGGTCATAAAGAGATCAAATATAGAGAAATAACCTGGTTTAATGATTCGCAAAACACTATTCAGCAACACCCATACATTTACATTTGATCTAAAAGCTCAGTTCTATATATTCTGCTCTTTCTCTTCTGTAACAGAAGTCACTGGGATCCTTTTCCCAATAATTAAAATGGATTATTACAGGGTTTGTGCACTGAAAACTCTGTATTATTGAATACTATATTATTTCCATTGAACATAAAAAGCTCTGGAGAGAGTTCCACTTTTCCAAATTGTCCATAGTGTTTTCTACTGAAACTTAATTAACATCACACATAATTGCCCAGGTGCCATGGAAAATCAAGCTAGAAACAAGTAAAGAAAAAGGTAAAATTGATAAATAAAGGCAGAAAGGGAGGAAAAAGCACAGAAATCCCGAGAAAGCCACCTTAAAGAGTTTGAAAAATCTCCATGGTGGTTTCTCTTCATTTAGAGAGTATATGTGCGTGTGCGTGTGTGTGTGTCTATACACAATATTGTATATAATGTCACCACAATGACCGTGCTTTGTCATATATAGATCAAGACCTGTCTGGTCAAGTGAAGCTGGAAATGCACAGTTCAGGATATAGACATCAGATACAGTCTATATGAAGCAGCCCATTTTTCCTCTTCCAATTCTGATATTCATTATTTTAGACACCAACAGTTAAAAGTAAAACACGGCCGGGTGAGGTGGCTCACGTCCGTAATCCCACCACTTTGGAAGACCAAGGCAGGCAGATTGCCTGAGCTCAGGAGTTTGCGACCAGCCTGGGAAACAAGGTGAAACCCCGTCTCTACTAAAAATACAAAAATTAGCCGGGCGTGGTGGCATGCGCCTGTAGTCCCAGCTACCCAGGAGGCTGAGGCAGGAGAATCACTTGAACCCGGGAGGTGGAGGTTGCAGTGAGCCAAGATCGTGCCACTGCACACCAGCCTGGTGACGGATCCAGACTCCGTCTCAAAAAAAAGAAAAAAAAAGTAAAACACTCAGTTTTATCATTACCCCAGATCCTTCTAGTGTCTAGGATGACATGATTTCCTAGTACAGTACCCAACACAAAATAGATGTTCAATAAAACATGTAACAAATAAGTGAGTGAACAATTGAAATAAAATGATCCAGATGCTAGCGTGTAATGCTATATTGGGATGGGTGCCTTGCGAGAAAATTAACAGAAAGCGTAATTGTTGTTCTATGTGTTCTTTGCCATGGCCACACTTCTTTTTTCCTTCAGGACCCCCACAACTGTCCCTAGCAGCCCTGGTTATTTCTAATGCTCAGAAATATATGCTGTGAAACCAAAGCTAATGGCATGGGGGAAAAAAAGTAGCAATTACATTCAGGAGCTTGCAAATACCTGAATGCAAGCTTTCAAATAAGTAGCCATGTGCGTAGAGAGAGATGCCATCATCTTACACAGCGAGAGCCAGCTGAACACTTGTTCGCCTCCTAGCACTTTTAAAGGCTATTTTTCTTCTTTACAGAAACACCTTGGTTATGTGCCATTATTTATAGTGTGTTCTTTGCCATTCATGTACTACATGGGTGATCTCCCTGTTGGTTTCTCCCAAAGCTCCTTCTGGACATGGGCTTGGCCACACTCACTGTGCCTATAACTTTCTGCTCTCTGTCTACTTTCCCCTTGCATGTATACCCTCCATCAGGATGGGAAGATTATTTTATTTTATTTTAGCTTTACGACCAACACCTGGCTTGTGCCAGGCTATTAGGAAACATTTGTGGCCGAAGGAAGGACTATAGTTTTGACTAAGTTACCCCAAGCTTGTGGGGGCTGCAGACTGCTTAACTGTAAGCTGAGGATTGAATAACTTTCTTTATAAAATTTTTATGATCAAAAGCAGCTTGTGTGATCACCTTAAATACCAATACAAGAATTTCACTTTATTGCTTCCATGCATTAAAAAAAAAAATTTTAACCAAATGACTATTCCCTCTTCTTAGCCTGTTTATATAATGCCATTTGTTACAGTTTTTCTCCATGAGAAGCCCAGCAGACATGTCTACTATGCTTCTCAAAAGAAAATTTCAGAAATGAGTGATGGTGGAGGATGTGGCTGGACTTCTCCCAAGACAGGAGGGATCAGATCTCTAGCAGAGGGTGAAGCATGGAGCGACACATGATGGCAGGGGCAGGCCTTGCTCTCCCAGGGGCTCTCCTTACCAAGTGGAAATTGTCCTGCTAGTGTTAACAATGGAAATTTCCTCCTGATAGAAGAAGAAAATCCTGCATGGCAGCTGACTTCTCACACCTCTGTTTTGCTACTTTTGTGCTCAACCATATTCTCCATCTGCCTTTGCAGTGGTCAAAGGTTCCCAGCCCTCAGCTCTCGCCTGAAGCCCTCTGCTCATTCTGTCCCTCTTGGAGGGATCCACATAACCCACCTTCGCCGAGCCGGCTCCTACTCAGCCTTCGGGTCTCGGCTTAGACACCAAACCCTCCCAAAGGCCTTTCCTGACCATCTCTACCCCACATCCCTGCTGTAGGTGGATGCCCCTGCTCTGAGCACACACAGAACCATACCCCTTCTGTGGGGCCACCCACTTCGATTTCCCATTTGATCAGCTGTGTTCCTTGCTAGATGGTAAGCTACTAAGTTTTACCAATGCATCCCTGGCACAGAGTAGGTCCTCAAGACAAACTCGCCAGATGAATGAATGAATGATATAATGGAAGAGTGCACACTGGGGTGACGGGCTGTGCAAGGTAAATAGTCTCACCTTTCAAGTCTCACTCTCAACGCTTCCTTCCTGGCCTTCCCCAGGCAATAAGGAGTGGATACCTAGGACCAAGGAGCACCAGCCCCGGCCTTCCTTAGCGCTTTTGTTATATCCCATTGTGATGATAAGACCGGATCTCCCTGGAGTTCCTGGTCAGCATGGACTGTGCATTTTACCTCTGTGCTCCCATCTGGCACAGATGGATGGAAGCTGCTCAGTAGATACCTGTGAATTGTGGAAGCCAACAGGGGGCTTTTCCGTCTTCACCTTCTCTCAGGTTCACAGCACTCCCTCTGCTTTCAAACTGCCATTGGGGTATTTGTTTTGCTACAAGATGACTTTGGGTTCATACCTGCTTCCCTGGATTTATTTGGCTTATAAACAACAAATTCCAATTAATCTCAATATTGGGCATTTTTATTTCTAACTCATTTTGGGAAACAACAAATCATAAAAACAAAAACAAAAATTACGCAGAGAATGAAGACATACAAGACCATTATCTTGGCAGGCATTTTGTTTATAATTTTTACAATCAATAATAGAATGTCCCTGTTTTACATAATATATATTTATATATATTTTATGTATATATATTTATATATTCGATATCTATATTTCAATAGAAAGAGACATAAAAAAGCCTTTTCAAATGAGGCATGACACGCAACACTCGACACTCTTATTTACAATATAGAGATGTACTTTCTACACAATTATAATAGATGCTCAGAGGCCAGAGAGGGTTTACAAAGACAGCAGAGCACCCCTATAAAAAAGAGGTGCACCATGCAGCTGGACGTTTATTGCCATTAGTTCTCACTATGTCCAGACAGCATATTGAAGTTAAAAATGGCATCTGGTTATTGGAGAAGATGATGATCATCAGATTCATCCCGGCTCCATAACCGCGGGCTACACAGTCTTTCAAAGGACCAGGGAATGACGAACATTGCTGATGAAAATTGGAAACACAACATGAAATGCACTCATCAGAGGGACAGGGCCCATCATTTGGCCAGAAAGGAGAAGCTGCTACCAACTTATGGTTCTGTACTGAGCATGGGCACTTGCCTAGGTCAGGAAACACAATACCATGTGCTGCACGACTAGGGAACAAATGTCTCCCAGGTTACAGAGCAAATACAGCACTCCTCATGAAGAACCAGAGTCTATGCCCAGCTCTGACTCGGGAGCTCAGATAAAAATCCCCAGTG